>NC_000003.12:127493452-127644967 GCF_000001405.40 Homo sapiens
CATATTATTTTGGCTGTGGCCCCCCCAAATCTCAAGTCCTTCTCACACTGCAAAATACAATCATCCATTCTCAATAATTCCCAAAAGTCTTAACTCATTCCAGCATCAACTCAAAAGTCCATAGTCTCATTTGAGATTCAAGGCAAGTTCCTTATACCTATGAACCTATAAAATCAAAACCAAGTTATTTACTTCCAAGATACAATGGTGGTACAGGCATTGGGTAAATATTTCCATTCCAAAAGGGAGAAATCAGCCAAAAGAAAGCAGCAACAGGTCCCATGCAAACCTGAAACCCAGAAAAGGAGACATTCAACCTTAAAGCTCCAAAATAATCCTGACTCCATATCCTGCATCCTGGGCACAGTGGTGCAAGGGATAGGCTCTCAAGGCCTTGGACTGCTCCATCCCTGTGGCTTTGTACAATACAGCTCCCATGGCTTCTCTCTTGAGTTGGAGTTGAGTATCTGTGGCTTTTCCATGCTCAGGGTGCAAGCTGCCAGTGGTTCTAGCATTTTCAGGTCTGGAGGGTGGTAGCCTCCTTCCCACAGCTCCACTAGATAGTCCCCAGTGGGGACTCTGCGCAGGGGCTCCAACCCCACATTACCCCCTTGGTACTTGCCATGTAGGGGCTCTCTGCAGGGGCTCCCATATAGGGGCACTCCCATACAGGGGCTCCCTGCAGTAGGCTTCTGTTTGGGCACCCAGGCTTTCTGATACATCCTCTGAAATCTAGGTGGAAGCTGCCAAGCCTTCTTCACTGTTGCATTCTGAAAGCCTGCAGACTTAACACACCATGTGGAAGTCACCAAGGCTATGGCTTGCACCCTCTGAAGCAGTGGCCCAAGCTGTACTTGGAGCCCTTTGAACCATGACTCGAGCTGCAGCAGCTAGGATATGGGGTGCAGTGAACCCAGCCTGTGTGAAGCAGTAGGGCCCTGGGTCTGGCACTTGAAACTACTCTTTCCTCCTAGGCCTCTGGGCCTGTAATGGGCGAGGCTGCCTCAAAAATCTCCAAAATGCCTTAAAGGCCTTTTTCCCATTGTCTTGAATATTAGCACTTGGCTCCCTTTTAGTCATGCAAATCTCTCTAGCAAGTGGTTGCTCTTCAGCCCACTTCAATTCCTCTCCTTAAAAATGTGCTTTCCTTCTCTACTATACGGCCAGGCTACAAATCTTTCAATTTTTTATACTTTGCTTCCCCTGTAATGGTAAGTTCCTATCTTGAGTCATTCCTTTGCTCCCACATCTGATCATATAGTTAGAAGTAGCCACACCACATCTTGAATGCCTTGATGTTTAGAAATTTATTCTGCCAGATACCCTAGGTCATCACTCTTAAGTTCAACCTTCCACAAACCCCTAGGACATGGACACAATGCAGCCAAGTTCTTCGCTAGGGAGTAACAAGAGTGACCTTTGCTCCAGTTCCCAATAACTTTCTCATTTCCGTCTGAGACCTCGTCAGCCTGGTCTTCACTGTTCATATTTCTATCAGCATTTTGGTCACAGCTATTTAACCAGTCCCTAAGAAATTCCAATGTTTCAACTTCCTGTTTTCATCTGAGCCCTCCAAACTCTTCCAACGTCTGCCGGTTCCAAAGCTGCTTCCACATTTTCAAGTATTTTTATACCAATGCTTCACTCCTTGGTACCAATTTTCTGTGTTAGTCTGTTTTGAGTTGCTATAAAGAAATATCTGAGACTGGGTAATGTATAAAGAAAATAGATTTATTTGGCTCACAATTCTACAGGCTGTAAAAGCCTGGCACCAGCATCTGCTTGGCTTCTGATAAGGCCTCAGGAAGCTTATAATCATGGCAGAGGTGAAGGGGAAACAGGTGTGTCACACAGTAAGAGAAGGAGCAAGAGAGATGCCAGGTTCTTTTAAACAATCAGCTCTCATGTGAACTAATAGAGTGAGAACACACTTATCACCAAAGAGATGGTGCTAAGCCATTCATGAGAGATCTGCCCCCATGATCCAAGACCTCCCAACAGGCCCCACTTCCAACATTGAGAATCACATTTCAACATGAGATTTGGAGGGGACACACATCCAAACAATATCAAGGACCCAGCCTCTTTCTCTCTAATATTGTATTCTTTGGATGTTGCATTCACCTCATGGTGCAAGCTTCACTCACATTCTGGCCACCTGGAAGGAAGAAAGAGAAGGAAGAGCACATCTTTCTCCTTTGAGAGCACTTCCCAGCAGCTGCACACACCACATCAGCATCCATCTCATTGATCAGAACCTGCTTGTATGGCCACACTTAACTGCAAAGGAAGCCAGGAAACATCTTTTTATTCTGAGAGACCTGTGCCCAGTCAACTCTCAGGATTTCTGTTATTAAGCAGGAATGTGAGAACAGATACTGGGGACAAGTAACAATGTCTACCACAAAAACAGCACTTAAGACAGTGCATCATCCTCCTCTATGCCTATCTCCCCACCTAGACTATAAGCAACTTGAAGGCAGGGGCCAAGTCTTTTCATTGAGTGTCCACAGCACCCAACACAAATCTTGGAATACAAGAGCCACCCAGTAATATTTATGGAATAGAATAACAATTTACAGTGTGTTACTGGTGATGGTGGCAGCCCATCTGGGACACCTGCTGCCATGATGCCAGCTGCAGTGGAGAAGGTGTGACTGGACTGCATGCTCCATGGAGTCAGCAGGAGCCAGGAACAGATGGAAGCCCTGCCTGCTTCCAAGTTGGAGAGGCAGGAGCCCCACCCTCCTGGGTGCAGCTGCAGCCATCCAGGCACAGCTGTGGACCTAGGCATCTCTGCACTCTTGGGATCCCAGAAAGTAGTCTCCCTTCCCCTGCAGCTTCAAAAGTACCCGTTCCTGCTGCTTGGCCTCTGCCTCTCCTGGCACCCACTCCAATTTCAAAGCAAAGTTGTGGCTGACCCCAGCACTGTCATGACCTAGCCAGGTGTGCATATACTCAAGACAGTGCTGACACACCAGCCCCCTCCCACCTCGGCCACCTTCAGACTTTGGGCACTGATAAGCATGGCAGGGAGGCTGAGGCAGGGCTAAGGGTGGCTCAGCACAGGCCTGCAGTCACCCCTCAGCACAAACAGCCTGGGCATCATGGGCACTGTGGATGGCAGGTTAATGGTGGCAGGAGGCAGATAGGCTCCTGAGCAGAAAGGGACTGGTTCCCAGTGAAGCCCCACCTTCAAGTCAGGGACTGCCTGAAGTGTGGGGCCAGGCTGTCAGCTCCGTGGACCAAGGTGAGAACTTACAGTGTTTTCTCTGCCCCCCCGCCCCCACCGACCATGGCTGCCCACGGACCAGTCAGCATGCACTTCCTCCCCTCTAAAGTCCGTAAAAACCCTGGACTCAGCCAGACTTGGGTAGATGACAGGACAACCTGCCTGCAAAGAGCATCTACCAACTGCTGGTCTCCTCTGAGCTGTTCTGCCACTCAATAAAGCTCCTCTTCACCATGCTCACCCTCCACTTGTCTGAGTACCTCATTGTTCCTGGATGCAGGACAAGGACTTGGGACCCACCAAATGGTGGGGCAGAAAGAACTGTAATACAAACAGGGCTGAAATATGCCCATTGCTCACCAGGTTTCAGGCAATGAGAAGGAGAAAAGAGAGAAGGCAAAAAGAGCTGTAGCCCTTTGGGGACCCCAGACCTAGGAGCTCCCCAAGCCAGGGCTATGACACCCTCTTTGGGGCTCTGTGTTTCCTGGTATCTCCAAGCTTTCAGGCACCACTGCCTTCCCTGATGCCAGCCATAGAAGCTTCTTTTCTATGGACCAGAAGCCTGGTCCAGCTGCAGCCTCACAGGCAAGCAGTACCTGTACCAGCATCTGGAGCTGCCCGCCCCACCACAGCCAGCATGCCTGGCTGTGCACAGTGGCCGGGCCCCATGCTTGCTCGCTCACACATCCCTCACCACTCCATGCCTGGCTCACCTTTGGCAGGCATGGGATCCAGGCTGGTAGCACAAGCCAAGTACAGCCTATCAGGCTGAGTGGGCAGAATGAGCCCAGTGAGCCTGAGCAAAACTTGGGCAAAGGCACCACCAGCCACAGAGGTTTCTGGCCAGAAAATGACACCCCAAGGATCCTGTGATGTTGCAGTTACTGTTGCTGCGTAACAAATCACAACAAAACTTATGGCTTCAAACAACATTCATTTTGATATGCATGTAGAGTCTGAGGGCCAACAATTCTAGGAAGGGCTCTACTAGGTGGTTCACATGGCGTCTTCCATGTAGTTGCAGACAGAGCTGCAACCACAGGCATCTGAAGTCCAGCTTGACATCCAAATGGACATCCAAGTTGTTTCACCCTCAGCTTGCAGTTGGTGTTGGCTGTATGCTGAGGGCTCAGCTGGGCTGTTGACTGGAGCATGTGCACTTGACCTGTCTTTATGGAGCTTGGATGTCTTCCACAGTGGCTCAGCGACCTCAGCACAAGTGTTATCTGAACAAGGCAGCAGCTGCCTGGTCACTCACAACCAAACCCCAGAAGTCACAGCATATCACTTTTGCCAAAGTTTATGGGTTGAAGAAGTCACAGATGAACCTAGCTTCAAGAAGAGGGAAGTTGGGCCCCACCTCTTGATGGAGGAGTGTCAGGGTCACATTGCAGAGGAGCATGCAGGAAGGGAGACATTGCTGAGGCCAGCTTTGGAAGGTTCAGGCTGCACACAGTGCAAAACCCAGCTCTGAACTATTCAGAAACGAGGAAGACAAACTCAAAAATTCACTTATGACTTCTGTCTTTGCCTCTTGTCCTCATCAATCAACTTTTTTCATTAAGATATTGTGCCTGAGCCACTGACAGTAATAATTTGGTGTTTCATCACATCTCACAAATAGATCTGAATGTGCTCAAGTGCCCTGTGGGGCTGAGAAAGAAGAGGCCCTCCACATCTGATGGAGAGGGTACATCTAGGACAGTGAGTCTCAATCCCAGGTACATGTTAAAACCCCCTGAGGAGCTTTTATAAAAAAAAAAAAAACCCAGGGGTGTGTCTTCTCTAAGACCAATTAAATCTGGGAACCTCTGGGAGTGTGGCTACAGCTTTAGAACTGTTTGAAACTTATATGACTGGGGAGTCCAGTAGATGCCCTAAACCCCAGGGACAAGCAGGGAAGGTATTGGCATTCTCCTGGTGTTCTCCCATCCAGTATCTTGTCCATTACCTCAGGCCATGTGCTTCTGTCCAATC
This sequence comes from Homo sapiens, assembly GCF_000001405.40. Classification (NCBI taxonomy): domain Eukaryota; kingdom Metazoa; phylum Chordata; class Mammalia; order Primates; family Hominidae; genus Homo; species Homo sapiens. The sequence continues at coordinate 127,498,662 of NC_000003.12, forward strand.
CCTGCTCCTTCTTACCACATGGGAGAACCTACCTTTCTCCCCCAAGACACCACAAAAACAAAGGCATTGGGTAAAATAGATTTTACTAAAGGTTTTGGAGGGTGAGTTAAAAAAGGGAGGCCAGGCGCAGTGGCTCATGCCTGCAATCCCAGCAGTTTGGGAGGCCAAGGCAAGTGGATCACCTGAGATCGGGAGTTTGAGACCAGCCTGACCAACACGGAGAAACCCCATCTCTACTAAAAACACAAAATTAGCCAGGTGTGTTGGCACATGCCTGTAATCCCAGCTACTCAGGAGGCTGAGGCAGGAGAATCACTTGAACCTGGGAGGCAAAGGTTGCAGTAAGCCGAGATTGCGCCATTGCACTCCAGCCTGGGCAACAAGAGCAAAACTCTATCTCAGAAAAAAGGTAGTTATCGCACTAAGCAGAAGACTGCCCAGAATTGAATATTATCACCTTTGTTTCTAACATGAAATGGCCATTCCCAACCATAGGGCATTTCTTAAGGAATGTTGCTCTTCTTTATCTCTTCCTAATTTCTGCTGCATCCTCTTCTTTAGGGCATCCATTCTATCTCTCACATTGCTGGGGTGAAACAAAAAAAAATCCTCCTAATATAAAAAGATATCCTAATATTAAAAGATATTTACTGCCCCCCTTTCTCACCCCAGCCCTTCACTGCAAGATCCTCCCATTCAGGATTACCTAGGATCATCCCTTTCTGAATAAAAGAACTTATTTCTAAAGTAATGTATAATCCTAAATAAAAGCACAGTTTGGTTTACCCTGTCCCCCCACAACCACGGAATGAATACATTTCTGCAGGTTGAAATGACATCATCCCAAACTTTTGCTTCTGATGGTAGTAGGCAAGATGAGCTAACTCCTCTGTTAAGGACAGAAAAACTGAACAACAGGTTTCTGTTAAAATCTTCTTTAAGAGCATAAGAGAGCTAATGAGATAGTGAAGAACCACCAGGTTAGGTTGCAGAAAAAAAATAAAAGGAAAAAAAGATACTCACTTCAGCTGCTTCTCCCTGGTGGCATTTTCAGTTTCATCAGAAGTGTCTGAAAGACAGACTGAGAAGAATTTTGACAGCTTCATGGGATCCAGAATACAATAATGTCAGGGAGACTTAGAAAACATCCCTGTTCCTGAAGCCTAGGGTGGGGATCCTGAGGAAAGCATCTCACAATAAATGTGAACCAAAATTGGAGCAGCTCTCAGAGACTGAAGCACAGCTCTGAGGCATACCAGTCTCTGAGAGTGGAGTAAAATTACTAGTGACACAAAGCACCGGTCAAGATCCAGTGTCAATCTTCTCTAGGAGAAGACAATGTCATCTAGGCCTCAAACTGTTCTACACATAGTTTTTCAAATGCAATGTCCAGGATGTCATCGACATCATCATCTCTGCCATCATCATCAATATCACCATCATCCTTATCATCACAATCAGGCACATAAAAAGACAGGATAATGACAACAGAAACAACTGCCAATAGAAACAGATCTGCAGATACACAGATATCGGGGTGACCACTTATAGACTTTAAAGTAACTATGGTTATTATGCTCAAGAAAACATTGAGAATTTTGGCAGGAAACTGAAAACAATCTCTAAATAAGATAGAGAAGATTTGAAAAAAGAGTAATATAGACATTTTAGAACTAAAATGCAAACAATAATTGAAACTCAGTACTTAATGGGTATGTTTAACAAAAGAGTAGACCTGCTGTTCTCAAACCATGTGCCAAGGTGCCCCAGGTGCTCCTGTGCATCACAGGAGTGCTGCAAAATAGTTTATATATTGAAAGGAAACATATTGCTATCTGTTGGACACAACACAAACTATTAGCTCAAAGTAGTTCATAGTTTCAACATTAGATGGCTACCTTCCTTCTGATAACATCATATATTTGCAAAGCCAAGTTTTCAGAGATCGCTGTAATACAAAGAGATTATTGCATGAAAATCAATGTAAAGCAAGAAATGAGGGTAGCAATATTCAATGATTCCATAATTTGAGAAGCTGTGCAATGCCAAAAAGGTGGCTACTCTGTTATGACACAAATACTTATACTGTTAGGATCTAGCTACTTAAGAAAACTATTAGGTATTCCTTTTTACCTAGGAGCACCATGGTGGGGGAGGGAAGAGGAATGAGATATTAAGAATATTATGAGCCAAGAAAGCCTGGGAACCTCTGGATAGACATAACTGAAGAGATTTACTAAACTGGAAGGATGGGGGAAACACCAGAGTAAAGCAGAGAAGGACAAAAGAATGGAAAACAGAAGAGAGTATAAGAGACAAAGAGAATAGAATGAGAAGATCTAACATATGTGTGCTTGAAGCACCAGGAAAAAAAGGACAAAGAAAATAGAACAGAAGACATAAATGATGAAAATATTCCAGGCCAGGCACAGTAGCTCACACCTGTAATCCCAACACTTTAGGAGGTTAAGGGAAGAGAATTGCTTGAGGCCAGGAGTTTGGGACCAGATATAACCTAGTGAGACCGCATCCCTACAAAATAAATAAATAAATAAATATTCCAAAAGTGATGGAAGCCATTTGTTTACATATTCAAGAAGCACTACAAACCCCAAACATAATGGTCAGAATAAATCTACACTTGGGCACATGAAAGTAATTGCTGAAGACAAAAACTAGAGAAAATCTTCAAAGCAGCTAGAGGAAACAACTTGTTTTACCTTCAAAGGAGCAACAAGTAGACTGACAACTGATTTTTCAGTAGAGAATATAAAAACCAGAAGACAATAGAATGATGTCTTCAAACTACTGAAAGAAAATAACTACCTACCTAGAAGTCTACCTTCAGAGAAAAATCATTCAAGAATGAAGGTGAGATAAAAATATTTTCAGCCAAACAAAAATGGAAAGAAATAATAAAAAATACACCCAAGCTAAAATAAAAATGATAGTGTTCAGACATAGAGTATATTTCAGATGGATAAACAGAAATGCAGAAAAAATATTAAAATAGCAAATACATATATAAAGCTAAATGAATATTAACTGTATAATGTAATAATAATGTCTTTGCGAGAGTTTTAATAGGTAAAGAATTAAAACCTACAAAAAACACCAAACAAGTCAGGAAGAAGCTAAATGAGTTGAAATGCTCTAAGTTCTTGCATTGTCGAGGAAATTGGTGATGTGCCAAGTAAACTTTGATTACTCAAGAATGTATGCTGTAGGAGATCAACTTCCAGCATGATGACATGAGGAGCTCTGCCAGCCCCTCTTAATTAAGGCCTCTGGAAATGGTCCAAAGGACAAAAAGAAAATTAAGAAACATCTATTTAAGAAAAACCCATAGAATTTGGGTAAGAAAGTTTAGAGTCTGTGGTATTTCATGACTCCCTCCATCCCAGCCCCGTGAGGCAGAGAATCCAATCCAGATAGCTGCAACCAAGAAGACAAGGTATCACCCCAGCATACAGTTGGAAGTCCTTCTTCCCAGAAGAAAGAGCACTTCAGTGTTTGTTGTCCTGTCCCCAGCTACCTGTTGCTGAGGCTAAGCTCCAAATGAGTGCAATCAAGCCATGGGAGTTCCCTTCCTCCAACCAGTTGCTAAAAAACAAACAAGCAAATAATGACAACTATAAGCCCCATGGAGGAAGAGAGGAAACCAGTGCTCAGAGTTTCTACAATATATTATCTACAGTATTCTACAATGTATTATAATGAAATATATTACCTAAAATGTCCAGTTTCTAGTGAAATATCAAAAGGCTTGTAAAGAAGTATGACCCATACACTGGTTTAAAAAAAAAAAAAAGGAGCAGGCAACATGAACTGCCTCTAAGAGCCACAAGATATTGGATTTAACTGAAAAAGACTTCAAAGTACAAATTATAAATATGCTCACAGAGCTGAAAGAGAGGATGATTTTAAAAACAAAAGCAAGATATAATGGCAGTGTTGCATCAAACATCTTCTATCAATAAAGAGATTGAAGTTATTTTAAAAGAACCCCAAGAAAAGTCTAGAGTTGAAAAATAGAGTAACTGAAATTAAAAACTCACTATAGGGGCACAACAGTAGATTAGAACTATCAGAAGAAAGAATTAATAAACTTGAAGATAGGTCTATAGAAATTATGCAAATAAAAGAACAGAGAACAAAATGAAGACAAATAAACAGACCCTCAAAGTCACAAACATAATGGGAGTGAAGGACAAGAGAAAGAAGAGAGAAGAAAAAATATTTGAATAAATAATGGCAGAAAACTTCCCAAATTTATTAAAAAGCAATATACATCCAGAAAGCACAAAGAATTACAAGTATGATAAATGCAAAGAGATTCACAGATACATCATAGTAAAAAATGCAGAAAGTCAAAGACAATAAGAAAATATTGAAACCAGCAAGAGAAAAATTACTTACAAAGAAACCTCAGTAAGATTAATAGTTGACTTCTCAGCAGGACAATAGAGGCAAGGATGCAGTACAATAACATATTCAAAGTACTCAAGGGCAAAAAAAGCTGTCCACCAAGAATTCTGTATCCAACAAAACTAAATGTATATTTTGAAACAGTCTGGCTCTGTCACTCAGGCTGGAGTGGAGTGGCATGATCTCAGCTCACTGCAACCTCTGCCTCCTGGGTTCAACAAATTTTCAGTTCTCATTCTCCCAAGTAGCTGAGATTATAGGTGTGCACCAATGTGCCCAGCTGATTTTTGTATTTTTAGTACAGACAGGGTTTTGCCATGTTGGCCAGGCTGCTCTCAAACTCCTGGCCTCAAGCAATCCACCTGCCTCAGCCTCCCAAAGGGCTGGGATTACAGGGGTGAGCAACCACGCCCAGCCCAAACCACATTTTTTTTAATAAAGGGGAAATAAAGATTGACCCAGATAAAAAAAATAAATAAAAGAATTTATTGATAGCAGATCTATCTTCCAAGAAATACTAAATGAAACTCTTCAGACTGAAAGCATGTGACTCCAGATGTTAATATGAATACAAACAAATAAAAATAAGGAGCACCAGAAAAGATAATTATTTAATTATAAAAATCAGTATAAGTCTATTTTTTTCTGCTTTCTTTTCATAAGTGATTTAAGAAGGAATTGTAGCCAGGTGCTGTAGTTCATGCCCGTAACCTCAGCAACTCAGAGGCTAAGGCAGGAGGATCACTTGAGCCGAGGAGTTTGAGGCTGCAGTCAGCCATGATCATGCCACTGTACTCCAGCCTGGGTGACAGAGCAAGACCCTAACTCAAAAAAAAAAAACCAGAAGCAATTGTATAAAATAATGTGTATATAATGTAATTTTGGGCCTGTGACATAGAGAAATGTATTATTATGTGTAATGTATTTGTCAATAATGACACGAAAGAGGTGGGTAGAAGCAGAGCTGTATTGAACTAAGGATGTGATGACAGATGGTAAAGTAATAATCAACAATTTATCATTAAGTTTATAACATTGATAGATGTAACATGCATAACAATAATACCACAAGAAAAGGGAAAAGTGAATAGAGCTATATACTAGTAAGGCTTCTACATATCACCATAAGTTAGTATAAATCTAAAGCTGAATCTGATAAGATGTACAGTGAACCCAAAAGCAATCAATAAAAAAACTCATAAAAATAAATTAGAAAATACACTAAAGAAACTAAAATCCTAACTAGAAAATATTCACTTAGTGTAAAAAAGCAAGAAAGAAGTAATAGAGAAACAAAATGACATGAGACATATAGAAATATAAAGCAAAATGGCAGATGTAAATCCAACAATATCAATAGCAACATTAAATGTGAATGAATTAAAAAATGCAGAGATTGTTGGACTTGGTTAAAAAAACATGATACAACTATATGTTGTGTATAAGAGGGCAAGATTAGATTCAGATTAGATTCAAAGATACAAAAACATTGAAAGTAAAGTATGGAAAAAGAAATATACAAACAGTACAAGAAAGCTGAAGCGGCTGTACTGATATCAGACAAAATAGAGTTTAAAACAAAAAAAGGGCCGGGCGCAGTGGCTCAAGCCTGTAATCCCAGCACTTTGGGAGGCCGAGGTGGATGGATCACGAGGTCAGGAGATTGAGACCATCCTGGCTAACACGGTGAAACCCCATCTCTACTAAAAATACAAAAAAATACCCGGGCGTGGTGGCGGGCGCCTGTAGTCCCAGCTACTGGGGAGACGGAGGCAGGAGAATGGCGTGAACCCGGGAGGCGGAGCTTGCAGTGAGCCGACATGGTGTCACTGCACTCCAGCCTGGGCGACAGAGCGAGACTCTGTCTCAAAAAAAAAAAAAAAAAAAAGAAAAGAAAAAAGTTGTTACTAGAGACAGAGAGACATTTCATGCTGATAAAAGAGTCAATCAATCAGGAAGATATAACAATTATAAACACGTATGCATTTTATAACAGAGCATCAATATACATGAAGTGAAATTGACAGAAACTAAGGGAGAAATATACAATTCAGCAATAACAGTTGAAGACTTTAAAACCTCACTTTCAATAATGGATAGAAAGACTAGACAGAAGATTAATAATGAAATATTAGACTTGAACAGCACTATAAACCAATGAGACCTAACAGACATCTCTATAGAACACTCCACTCAACAACAACAGAATATACATTCTTCTCAGGAGCACATGAAACATTCCCCAGGATAGACCGTATATTAGGCCATAAAACAAACCTTAACAAATTTAAAAGAATAGAACTAGCACAAAGTATGTTCTCTGACCACAATTGGGATAAAATTTGACATCAACAATGGAAAATTTGGGGAAACTCAGAAATATGTGGAAATTAAACACACCCTTATATAACCAATAGGTCAAAAAAGAAATAAAAGGGCAAATTTAAAAATACATTGACAAGAATGAAAATGAAAACACACCATACCAAAACTTATAGGATAAAGCTAAAGCAGTGCTTAGACAGAAATTTATAGCTGCAGTGCCTATATTAAGAAGAAGGAATGATCTCAAATCAATAACCTAATCTTCCACCTTAAGACACTGGAGAAAGAAGAGCAAACTAAACCTAAAGCAATCAAAGAAGGGGAATAATAAAGGCTAGAGCAGAAATTAATGAAACAAAGAATAGAAAAACAATAAAGAAAAGCAGTTAATTCAAGGCCAGTTTGTTGTAAAGATCAACAAAATTGACAAACCTTTAGTTAGATTGTTCAATAAGAAAAGAAAGAAGACTCAAATTACTAGAATCAGAAATTAAAGAGAAGACATTACTACTACCCTTACAGAAATAAAAAGATTATAAGGAAATATTATGAACAATTGTATCCAAAAAACTCAATAAATTAGAAGAAATGTCCTTCCATAGAAGGACAAAAACAAAACTACAGGAACTGACTCAAAAGTAAATAGACAATCTGAATAGACTTTTAACAAGTAAAGAGATCGAATTAGTAATCAAAAACTACCCATAAAGAAAAGCTTAAGTCCAAATGGCTTAATCACTGAATTTTATCAAATACTTAAAGAAGAATTAATACAAATTCTTCACAAACTCTTCCAAATAGTAAAAGAGGAGGAAATACTTTCCAATTCATTTTATGAGGCCAATATTATCTTACTATCCAAACCAGGTGAAGATAGCACAAGAAATGAAAATTACAGACCAATACCTCTTATGCAAAAATCCTCAACAAAATACTAGCAAATCAAATTTAATAACATATAAAACAAATCAAACTCCATGACCAAGTTCGATTTATCCTAAGAATGCAAGCTTGGTTTCAACAACTAAAAATCAATTAAATCACCATACCAATAGAATAACAGCTAAATGAGCTAAAATTATACTCAATGGTAAAAAACTGGATACTTTCCTCCTAAGACCAGAAACAAAACAAGGATGTATGCTCTCACCATTTCTATTCAACATTGTACTGGAGGTTCCGGTTGGGGTAATTAGGCAAGAAAAAAGAACAGGAGGCATTCAGATCACAAAGAAAGAAGTAAAACTCTATCTATTGAAGATGACATGATCTTGTACATAGAAAACCCTAAGGGCCCAGGCATGGTGGCTCACACCTGTAATCCCAGGACTTTGGGAGGCCGAGGCAGGCAGATCACTTGAGGTCAGGATTTTGAGACCATCGTGGCCAACATGACAAAACCGTGTCTTTACTAAAAATACCAAAATTAGCCAGCATTGTGGCACACACCTGTACTCCTAGCTACTGGGGCGGCTGAGGCACAAGAATCACTTGAACCTGGGAGGTAGAGGTTGCAGTGAGTCAAGATTGTGCCACTGCACTCCAGCCTGGGTGACAGAGTGAGACGCTGTCTCAAAAAAAAAAAAAAAAAGAAAATAGAAAATCCTAAGGAATCTATTAAAAAACTATTAGAACTAATAAATGAGTTGAGCGAGGTTGCAGAATACAAAATTAATATACAAAAATCAATTGTATTTTTGCTGGGCGCAGTGGCTTACGTCTGTAATCCCAGCACTTCGGGAGGTGGAGACAGGCAGATCACTTGAGGTCAGGAGTTCAAGACCTGCCTAGCCAAGATGGTGAAACCCAGTCTCTACTAAAAATACACAAATTAGCCAGGTGTGGTGGCACAGGCCTGCAGTCCCAGCTACTTGGGAGGCTGAAGCAGGAGAATTGCTTGAACCCGAGAGGCAGAGGTTGCAGTAAGCCAAGACTGCCCCACTGCACTCCAACTTGGGTGACAGAGTGAGGGTCTGTCAAAAAAAAAAAATCAATTGTATTTTTAAATAAACCTTTAATTTTAGAATAGTTTTAAATTTTAAAAAGAGTTGCAAAGATAGTACAAAGAGTTCTTTATATCCTACACCCAGAGCCCTCTAACCTCTAATATTAACATCTTCTATTACTATAGTACATTTATTTTAATTGCTGAACCAAAATATACAAGTAACAAATCAATAAACATTTGATTGCAAGTAAGAGAAGACTAAATCAAAATAGTAATAGTAGTAATTTCAATAGTGGTAGTAGTGATAACTGAATGGTCAAGGAATAATATACACTTTAGCTGAAACCAGGTCTCAAACACTGTCATCAAGATTACCTTCCTCTCTTATTTTTTCCTTTGCATGATATCAATTATATGTTTACACAATTTCAATGAACAATCCAAAATAAAATTAAGAAAACAATTTCATTTACATTGAAAACAATTTCATTTACAATTCAAAAAGAATAAAATGCTTAGGAATAAATTTAACAAAAGAAGAGCAAAACTTATACTCTAAAAACTGTAAAATATTGCTCAAAGAAATTTTAAAGATCTAAATAAATGGGAAAAATCCCATGTTTGTGGACTGAAAGACTAAACATTGTTAAAATAGCACTACTCACCAATCTGATGTACAGAGTCAGTGCAATTCCTATCAGAATACCAGCTGACTTTTTTGTAGGAATGGACAACCTGATTCTAAAATTCATATGGAATAGCAAGAGACTCAGAATGGCCAAAATGATCTTGAAAAAAAAGAACAAAGTAGGAAGAGTCAAGGTTCTTGATTTCAAAACTTACTACAAAACAAGAAAATAGAAAAATAAAGAAGAGCAGAAATAAAAACAAAGTAGAAAACAAGCATACAATAGAAAGAAGCAACATAACCAAAAGCTTTTTAATAAACCCTTAGCCAGGCGCAGTGGCTCACGCCTGTAATCTCAACACTTTGGGAGGCCAAGGCAGGTGGATCACGAGGTCAGGAGTTTGAGACCAGCATGGCCAACATGGTGAAAGCCCGTCTCTACTAAAAATACAAAAATCAGCCAAGCATGGTGGCAGGTGTCTGTAATCCCAGCTACTCAGGAGGCTGAGGCAGGAGAATTGGCTGAACCTGGGAGGCAGAGGCTGCATTGAGCCAAGATCGCACCATTGCACTCCAGCCTGGGTAACAAAAAAAGAAATCAAAACTAATAAATCCTTGACGAGTTTGGTAAAGTAAAATGAAAAAAGGTACTAATAACCAAATGCCAAGAATAAAGAAAAGAACATTGTTGCAAATCCTGAAGGTAATAAAATGATGAGACTTTGTGAATACATTTTTATGCCAATATATCTGAAAATTTCTATGAAATAAAAAATTATGAAAATATAACTTACCATATCAGAAACAAGAATATAAAATATTAAAGCTATTAGAACTATTAAACTACTAGAAAAACTAAAAATACTATTAAAAATATTTTCACAAAGGAAAATCTAGATCCAAATGTCTTCACCAGCAAATTCTACTAGAAATTTCAAACCAGAGAAGAGAAAAAGGGGAAACATTTTATAAATTGCTTTGTGAGGCAGGAATAAACTTGATACCAAAACCCAATAAAGACATTATGAGAAAGGAAATATCACTCAAGAAAATAAATGGAAAAATTCTGAGCAAAATATTAGCCAACTAAATCCAGAGATATATCACACCAAATAAAATTTATTCCAAAAAGTATAAGTTAAGTGTAAGTTGGTTTAATATCTGGAAATCATCATATTAGTAGAATTAAGTTCTTTAAAAAGCATATAAATGTCTTAAAAGATGAAGGGAAAAAATTGATAAAATTTAATATACATTCACAATATTTTTATATCCTCAGGAAGTAGGAATAGAAGCAAACTTTCTTGATCTGAAAAAGGATATATATGAGAAATACACAACAAGTGGCATACTTAGTGATGAAATGTTAAACTTTTTCCCCTTTGAGATCAGGAATCAGTCAAGGGTGCTCGCCATCCCCACTATTTGCCATTTTATAAGAGTTGCTAGTCAGGCAAGGCAAGAAAAAGAAATAAAAGATATGAAGAGTAGAAAACTACTCCTAAAACTGGAATTATTTGTAGGTTATATGATAATGTACAGCTAAAATTCAAAAGATTCTTAACATAATTTATGTCATATTCTTAGAATTAATACAAGGTCAATATACAAAAATCAACTGAACTTCTATATATCAGTAAGAAACCAAAAATAAATTGTTTTAAAAGATGCCACTTATGCTTGTATCAATATATATTAAGTACTTAGGAATAAAACTAAAGAAAATCAAAGTAAATTAATGTTCATGACTTATAGGACTCAATATTATAAAGATGTAAATTATTTCTAATTAATGTATAGTTTCAATGGAATCCTAATCAAAAATTCTAGCAGGATTTTTTTTTTAGAAATTAACAAGCTGATCCAAATATTATATGAAAGAATAAACGACCAGACATAGCCAAGTCAATCTTGAAAAAGAAGAGCAAAGTAGGAGAATTTGCTCTACCAGACATCAAGACCCATTATAAAACTACAATACTTAAGAAAACATAATGTTGAGGCAAGAATAATCAAATAGATCACTGGAGCAGAAAGGGGAGCCCAGAAACACACCCACATATATTCAGATACTTGATTTATTTTTTTAAAAAAAGATTACACTTCAGAACACAGTGTAGGAAATTATTTTTAACAAATATTGCTAAAACTATTGGTTATTCATATGAGGAAAAGAGTAAACTTGATACCTGCCTTACACCACATTAAAAAGTCAATTGAAGGTGGAATTGTACATCTAAAAGTGAAAGGTAAAACAACAAAACTTCTGCAAGATAACATAGGAGAATATATAATCTCAGGGTAAGAAACAACTTTTAACTAAGATACCAAAAAACCTAACCATAAAGGAAAGCACTGACATATTAGAATGCATGAAAATATATATGGAATGCATTTTATGTATGTAGAAAATACATATGTAAGTGCTATCGCTTGAATATTTGTCCCCTCCAAAACTCATGTTGAAATTTAATCCCCAATGTGGCAGTTGTAGGGAAGTTTAAGTTTTCCCCGAAGATTCGATAATTTGAGTCTATAGAACAAACTTACAATAGAAAGAGTAACAGAAAAAATGGCATACAAATTTTATTATGTGCACATGTGTGCACAGGAGTCATAAAAAATATAAACACTCAAAGAAAGGCAAGATGGTTGAAGTTTTTGTACTGTCTTGGGGTTACAGAAAGAATAGGGGCTTGGATGGTGGCAAAGACAGGTCGTGGGAGACAGAGAAGAGGAAAGACCTGGGGAAAAGGCAGTCTTGTTATGCAGGAGAAACCTCACAGGTAGCAGCCCTCAGAAAGAACAAATGAGTGGCAAATCCAGACAAGGGGACAAATATTCAAGTGATAGCACTTACATATGTATTGTTTAATTCACTTTATTTCCTCTGTAGATGCACATCTCCCCACAAAAGACAGCTTTGTAGGGCTACTTCTGTCTGCAGGCCCTCTGAACTGAACAGGCATCTCAAAATATGTCAAAGAAGTATATTTTGGGGTAAACCATTTTGGTTTCCTTCACAATTGAGAGATGAGGCCTTTAAGAAATGATTGGTTCATGAGAGCAGTGCCCTCATGAATGGATTAATTTATTCATGGACTAATGGATGAATAGATTAATGGGCTAATGGGTTAATGAGTTATCATTGGAGTGGGACTGGTGGCTTTCTATTAGGTCGATGCAAAAGTAATTGCGGTTTTTGCCATTGAACTGCAACTACTTTTGCACCTACCTAAATAAGAAGAGGAAGAGAGACCTGAACTAGCATGCTCAGCCCCCTTGCCATGTGATGCCCTGCGCTACCTCAGGACTCTGCAGAGTCCCCTCCAGCAAGAAAACCCTCACCAGATGTGGCCCCTCGACCCTGGACTTCTCAGCTTCCATAACTGTGAGAAATAATTTTCTACACTTTATAAATTACCCAGTTTCAGGTGCTCTGTTATGAGCAACAGAAAATGGAGTAATGCAATATGAGATAATATTGGACTTTAAAAGTAAATTACATTTAAGAAAAGTTAAAATTAGGAAAGTCTATATATCAAAGACCCCATTAAGAAAGTTAAAAGGTAAGCCACAGAATGGAAGAAAATATTAGTACCATATATAACAGACAAAATGTTTATATGCAGTCTATTTTTAAAACTCCTACATATCAATTAGAAAAAGAAAACAGAAAAATAAGCAGAAGACTTCAACAAGCACTTCACAAAAGAGGATATACAAATGGTCATTGAACACATAAAAAGGTTCTCAGTCTCACTAGTAATTATGGGAATGCAAATTCAAGCCACGATGAGATATCTTTACACACTCATGAGAATGGGCTAAAATTAAAATATCTGACAATACAAGATGTTGGTAACAATGTAGAGGAACAGGAGTTCTCACATACTACTGATAAACATGTAAACTGGCACAACTATTTTGGAAACCAGTTTTGCGTTATGTTCTAAAGTTAAGATATGCATGCCTCATAACTCAGCAATTCCACTCCTAGATTTTTTCCCAAGAGAAATGTGTGCACAGGTACAAAATAGTCCCAGGCAGCATGCACACCTCATTTGAGACAAGTGAAAAATGGTCATAGCCACATTGTTCATAATAGCCCCAAACTTGAAACGAACCACACATCCACAAACAGAAAAATAGAAACATAAATTGTGTTATATTTACCCAGTGAAATACCAAACAGCAATGAAAACAAGCAAATTGCAACTACACACAACAACATGGGTGAATCTCACGAACAAAATATTAAAAGACGCAAGTAAAAAAAAAGACAAACTATATAATTCCAACCTGTATTTTTTAAATAGGCAAAACTAAACAATTATGTTTTAGGAATGCATGCTTAGTATAGTGATAAAACAATAAAGAAGGGAGGAACTGATTACCATACAAGTCAGGAGAGTGGTCATGTTGCGGGAGGAGGGAGGTGTGAAGGATTAGGAGGAACACAATAGGAACCTCCTGCAGTGTTCGATTTTGTGACCTGGTTGGTGGCTTCATGGGAATTTGCCTGGCAGTAATTCACTAAGCTGCACATTTCTGTTTGGTGCAATTTGTGAGCTCATGATTTACAATGGAAACATCATTTTAACCACCCTGTTTCTTTGGCTTCAATATATTCATAGTCACATAGATTCTAACCCTTACACTCTTACTCTTTGGCAGCGCAACCTGAGGTAGGAGGCGAGGCTCAACTCCAGAGGTGGGGTTCAGACTCCAGACCAGATTGAGGACTAGCTGAAACAGGAGAGAGGCAAAAGCACCTTTCCATAAGACACGCCTACCAGTGCCATATCAGTCTACAATTGCATGGCAGTACCCAGAAGTTGCCACCCCTTTCCATGGCAATGACCCAGAAGTTACCACCCTTTTTCTAGAAAATTCTGAATAACCCACCCCTTAATTTGCATGTAATTAAACATGGGTATAAATATGACTGCAGAATTGCCCCTGAGCTGCTGCTCTCCATACACTGCCTAGGGGCAGCCCTGCTCTTCAGGAGCAGTCACAGAGCTCTAATACTGCCACCTCAGTAAAGCTGTTTTCTTCTCCCACTGGCTCACTCTTGAATTCTCTCCAAGCAAAGCCAGGAAACTTCTCAGGCTAAGACCCAATTCTAGGGCTTACCTGCCTTACATCAAGCCTACACTTGCTAAAAGTTTTTCACGAACATTAAAGTACCCTGAGAGCAGGTGACTATTATTCCCCTTTTTAGTTAAAGAAACTCATCATGGCCAGGCGCAATGGCTCATGCCTGTAATCCCAGCACTTTGGTAGGCCGAGGTGGGTGGATCACCTGAGGTCAGGAGTTCGAGACCAGCCTGGCCAACATGATGAAACCCCGTCTCTACTAAAAATACAAAAATTAGCCGGGTGTGGTGGCAGGTGCCTGTAATCCCAGCTACTTGGGAGGCTGATGCAGGAGAATCACTTGAACCTGGGAGGCGAAGGTTGCAGTGAGCCGAGATCACGCCATTGGACTCCAGCCTGGGGGACAAGAGCGAGACTTCATCTCAAAAAAAAAAAAGAAACTGATCATGAGGGCCAGGCACAGGGGAAAGGGCCAGGACTATAACCAGGGGCAGAACAGAAACCAAAACGCTTCCTTTCATCTGATCTTCTCCTTTACACAATGGATAGTGTATAGTGTTCCAGGGAAATGTGCAAATCATGTTCTTGTAAATTGATTTCACCTGAAATACACTGGGGAGCCTGCCACGTAAAGAAAACCCCAGAGCAAATTCATTTATTAATTGATTCAGCAAATATTTATCAAGTTCCTATTGTATTCACAGAACTGAGAACCCCCTGAAGTCTAAAATTCTCTCTCATAAAGTGAATAAATCCTTCCTTAATTTATTGGTGTACAGGTCTACATTTTCAAATATTGATAATTCCTAAATGGTTTTTATTTTTTTTTCTTATTGCAAAAGCAGTACAAGTTCACTGTAAGCATTTAGAAAACAGGAGAGAAACAAAATAAAATCATGGGTATTCTGCCACCCAGAGATAACCATTGTTAACATTTTGGTATATATCCTTCTAATAGTTTTTTTCTATGCATGTGTTCACTTTTTTTAACCAAAATAAAATCACACTGTACATCTTGGGTGTTTTGGGGGTTTTTTACTATATATATATATATATATATATATATATATATATATATATACACACACACACACACACTCACACATATATATATATGTATATATAAATATATATATTTAAATATATATTTCTTTTTTTTTTTGAGACAAAGTCTCACTCTGTCACCCAGGCTGGAGTGCAGTGGTGCCATCATAGTTCACTGAAGCCTCAACCTCCTGGGCTCAAGTGATCCTCCCACC
This sequence comes from Homo sapiens, assembly GCF_000001405.40. Taxonomy (NCBI): domain Eukaryota; kingdom Metazoa; phylum Chordata; class Mammalia; order Primates; family Hominidae; genus Homo; species Homo sapiens. Next base: position 127,514,353 of record NC_000003.12, read on the forward strand.
TCAACCTCCCAAGTAGCTAGGACCACAGGTATGTGCCACCACACCCCGCTAAATTTTTTATTTTTGTAAAAACAGGGTCTCACTATGTTGCCCAGGCTGGCCTCAAACTCCTGGGCTCAAGCAATCCTCCCACCTTTACCTCCCAAAGTGCTTGGATTACAGGCATAAACCACCACGCCAAGCCCAAATTTTATATTTAAAAACACAGTTGGATTTATAGCACTAAATGCCCACAAGAGAAAGCAGGAAAGATCTAAAATTGACACCCTAACATCACAATTAAAATAACTAGAGAAGCAACAGCAAACACATTCAAAGGCTAGCAGAAGGCAAGAAATAACTAAGATCAGAGCAGAACTGAAGGAGATAGAGACACAAAAAACCCTTCAAAAAAATCAATGAATCCAGGAGCTGGTTTTTTGAAAAGATCAACAAAATTGATATACCGCTAGCAAGACTAATAAAGAAGAAAAGAGAGAAGAATCAAATAGATGGAATAAAAAATGATAAAGGGGATATCACCACTGATCCCACAGAAATACTAACTACTATCAGAGACTACTATAAACACCTCTATGCAAATAAACTAGAAAATCTAGAAGAAATGGATAAATTCCTGGACACACACACCCTCCCAAGACTAAACCAGGAAGAAGTTGAATCCCTGAATAGACCAATAACAGGTTCTGAAATTGAGGCAATACTTGATAGCCTACCAACCAAAAAAATTCCGGGACCAGATGGATTCACAGCCGAATTCTACCAGAGGCACAAAGAGGAGCTGGTACCATTCCTTCCGAAACTATTCCAATCAATAGAAAAAGAGGGAATCCTCCCTAACTCATTTTATGAGGCCAGCATCATCCTGATACCAAAGCCTGGCAGAGACACACAAAAAAAAGAGAATTTTAGACCAATATCCCTGATGAACATCGATGCAAAAATCCTCAATAAGATACTGGCAAACCAAACCCAGCAGTGCATCAAAAAGCTTATCCACCACAATCAAGTTGGCTTCATCCCTGGGATGCAAGGCTGGCTCAACATACACAAATCAATAAACATAATCCATCATATAAACAGAACCAAAGACAAAAACCACATGATTATCTCAATAGATGCAGAAAAGGCCTTCGACAAAATTCAACAGCCCTTCATGCTAAAAACTCTCAATAAACTAGGTATTGATGGGACGTATCTCAAAATAATAAGAGCTATTTATGACAAACCCACAGCCAATATCATACTGAATGGGCAAAAACTGGAAGCATTCCCTTTGAAAACTGGCACAAGACAGGGATGCCCTCTCTCACCACTCCTATTCAACATAGTGTTGGAAGTTCTGGCCAGGGCAATCAGGCAAGAGAAAGAAATAAAGGGTATTCAATTAGGAAAAGAGGAAGACAAATTGTCCCTGTTTGCAGATGACATGATGGTATATTTACAAACCCCATCGTCTCAGCCCAAAATCTCCTTAAGCTGAAAAGCAACTTCAGCAAAGTCTTAGGGTACAAAATCAAGGTGCAGAAATCACAAGCATTCCTATACATCAATAACAGACAAACAGAGAGCCAAATCATGAGTGAATTCCCATTCACAATAGCTTCAAAGAGAATAAAATACCTGGGAATCCAACTTACAAGAGATGTGAAGGACCTCTTCAAGGAGAACTACAAACCACTGCTCAACGAAATAAAAGAGGACACAAACAAATGGAAGAACATTCCATGCTCATGGATAGGAAGAATCAATATTGTGAAAATGGCCATACTGCCCAAGGTAATTTATAGATTCAATGCCATCCCCATCAAGCTACCAATGACTTTCTTCACATAATTGGAAAAACTACTTTAAAGTTCATATGGAACCAAAAAATAACCTGCATTGCCAAGACAATCCTAAGCCAAAGGAACAAAGCTGGAGGCATCATGCTACCTGACTTCAAACTCTACTACAAGGCAACAGTAACCAAAACAGCATGGTACTGGTACCAAAACAGAGATATAGACCAATGGAACAGAATAGAGCCCTCGGAAATAATATCACACATCTACAACCATCTGATCTTTGACAAACCTGATAAAAACAAGAAATGGGGAAAGGATTCCCTATTTAATAAATGGTGCTGGAAAAACTGGCTAGCCATATGTAGAAAGCTGAAACTGGATCCCTTCCTTACACCTTATACAAAAATTAATTCAAGATGGATTAAAGACTTAAATGTTAGACCTAAAACCATAAAAACCCTAGAAGAAAACCTAGGCAATACCATTCAGGCCATAGGCATGGGCAAGGACTTCATGAATAAAACACCAAAAGCAATGGCAACAAAAGCCAAAATTGACAAATGGGATCTAACTAAACTAAAGAGCTTCTGCACAGCAAAAGAAACTACCACCAGAGTGAACAGGCAACCTACAGAATGGGAGAAAATTTTTACAATCTACCCATCTGACAAAGGGCTAATATCCGGAATCTACAAAGAACTCAAACAAATTTACAAGAAAAAAACAAACAACCCCATCAAAAAGTGGGTGAAGTATATGAACAGACACTTCTCAAAAGAAGACATTTATGCAGCCGACAGACACATGAAAAAATGCTCATCATCACTGGCCGTCAGAGAAATGCAAATCAAAACCACAATGAGATACCATCTCACACCAGTTAGAATGGCGATCATTAAGAAGTCAGGAAACAACAGGTGCTGGAGAGGATGTGGAGAAATAGGAACACTTTTACACTGTTGGTGGGACTGTAAACTAGTTCAACCATTGTAGAAGACAGGGTGGTGATTCCTCAAGGATCTAGAACTAGAAATAACATTTGACCCAGCCATCCCATTACTGGGCATATACCCAAAGGATTATAAATCATGCTGCTATAAAGACACATGCACACGTATGTTTCTTGCGGCACTGTTCACAATAGCAAAGACTTGGAACCAACGCAAATGCCCATCAATGATAGGCTGGATTAAGAAAATGTGGCACATATACACCATGGAGTACTATGCAGCCATAAAAAAGGATGAGTTCACGTCCTTTGTAGGGACATGGATGAAGCTAGAAACCATCATTCTGAGCAAACTATTCCAACGACGGAAAACCAAACACTGCATGTTCTCACTCATAGGTGGGAATTGAACAATGAGAACACTTGGACACAGCGTGGGGAACATCACACACCAGAGCCTGTCATGGGGTGAGGGGAAGGGGGAGGGATAGCATTAGAAGATATACCTAATGTAAATGACCACTTAACAGGTGCAGCACACCAACATGGCACATGTATACATATGTAACAAACCTGCATGTTGTGCATATGTACCCTAGAACTTAAAGTATAAAAAAAAAAAGAATTGGAAAAAAAAACACACAGTTGGATTCTACCCAGCAAAACAAAGAGAAGTATTCCAAATACAAGTCACCCCAGCTTCCCAGCTGGGTGGTAGAACCCCAAGTAGATGTCAGATGCCGATGGAGAATGCACTGCATGGGATGCTACAAGGACTGAGCGTCCCTTTCCTCAGGGACGTGCCTTGGAGGTGGCTGCATTGCTCACAGGCCCAGATGACCTCCACTTCGCCATCACCTGAGCACAGCCCCAGGTCTGCACAAGGAAATACACGAGAAGAAGACTGCCATGTAAGAGAACACAGCAGCTTTCTCCAAATCACCTTTGAGAGTTCACCAAAATTTCCCTCCAGCCTCTAGGTAAGCTTAGTTCCTTGTTGTTGACTCAAGTCTCACTACCAGAATTTCAGCACATCCCACTTACAAGCCTATAATACAACCCATATTATATTTTATAAGAGAGTACACTACCAGCCCAGGTTGTTGGCAAGACCTCAATATTTTCCCAGAGCAGTAGAGTCAGTAAGTTACCCCTATCAAAAGCAGCATATGTTCAGAAAGTGACTGTCAGGAGTAGTGCTGTTCTTGTCCTCTCAGAAGGAATGGCATGAGGTGGTGGCGGGCAAGTGGGGACAGCCCAAGAGCAGTGCATGGGGGAGACAGAAGATGACTGATGGTCAGATGCCAGCCATATCTACCATGACCACTGGGACCTCCGGGCACTTGGCCTCCCAGATATCAACAAACCAGGACTAAGTCAACACCATCAGAGCGTGAACTTATACCACCTGGGAAAAGAAGGAGAAGCCAAGGGGATGGCCAAGTTTCAAGAACTTGACCTAACATCTGGGTCCCAGGAATTATCACTGGGGGAGGGAAGAAGCCATCACAGAGAACTTCATGCCTTAGGGTGAATATTCAGGAGAACAAAGCACATGTTAAGACGAAAGAACAGGTGACTCAGCTACCTTAGACACCATCATGACTGCAGTCACACCCCCAGTGGGTTACAGGTTCATCTGTCTTTTTGCTGTAACATGAGCTATTCTATCTTATTCTTATAGCACCAAGAACTTCCTAGGAAAAGTCAAATGATGGTTTTTATGGAACAAAATAATTCTTATAGTAAAGACAAAGTTGCCGATTGTGTCAGATGCAAAACGAAATACAAGCAAGGATGAAAATCATCTGAGCCAGTGAACAACTTACTCCTTCACCAACTTGCTTACAGTTTATAGCAACTCTTTTAAAGAAAGTATCCAAAAAAATATGCTAGAAAGGCCCACCCAAAGCCTTGCCTTCAGACTGGTAATGAGACCTGGTTTTATGACTCTTCCATTCTTTTTGGATACTCAGCATCTGAATCTTTTTTCTGTGTTTGAAGAAATTTCACCATAGAAGGGATGGGCATGTTTTTGAGATGCTGACCTTGGACATAGACTCTCACCTTTTGAAACTTTGGGAGACCTTCTTTTTAAAGGGAGAGTCAGTTCAGTAATAAGGAAGTTGTACTGCATTAGCTCGCACCCACATGTATATTTAAATGTGTGAAAGTTTGAAAAGAAAGTGCATGCTGTCTATTTGTTCGTTTGTTTTGCTGCTTAGCAAATAAATCACCCTCTTATGAGTGGCAAGTCACCACCCCATGGGTTTTGGTTGGGAGGCAGAGCCCGCTCACTGCTTTGGAAGCAGCTGAGGACCCTGGGATCTCACTTGGTGACCTCCCTCCAGCAAGGGCACATGATCCAGGCTTTGCCAGACCCACATGCACAGATTGGGGGCCAAGGCACAGTCCCAGGTTCCACAGCAGGATTCTGGGAGTGATGTCCAAAGGTTTGGCCCTGAAAATGAAAATGATTATGTAGATTTTTTTGTAAATCTCTGAGGTACCCAGTATCCTTTTAACAAGTTCTATTTCTGAGCATATCTGCTGAAGTTGGTTCCTGAGCTTTCGAACTAAGAAGCCAGATTGCTGGAGTATGAAAATAGTAACATGCTATGCAGTGATGAAATCACCCAGTCTTCTAAGGTGAAACAGTACCATTTACATTTAACCTCAAGGAACAACCTGGAATTTTTTTCTTGGAATTTACATTTTCTTGTTTTTGGTGGGGAGCAGGTGGCGGGGACAGAATTTCACTCTTGTTGCCCAGGCTGGAGTGCAATGGCGTGATCTCAGCTCACTGCAACCTCCACCTCCTGGGTTCAAGTGATTCTCCTGCCTCAGCCTCCCGAGTAGCTGGGATTACAGACGTGCACCACCATGCCCAGCTAATTTTTTTATATTTTAAGTAAAGATGGGGTTTCACCATGTTGGCCAGGCTGGTCTCGAACTCTCCTGACCTCAGGTGATCCGCCTGCCTCTGACTCCCAAAGTGCTGGGATTACAGGCATAAGCCACCACACCTGGCTGAAATTTATATTTTCTAAAGATGTAGGTATGAATGTGTCACCTATGCCAAATAAGATATATGGACTGGATGATAATGATTTGAAGCAAAATTGTTATCAAATTTCAAAATGCTAACAAGACTTTTGAAAACAGCCCCATTAAGCTGATGTTCTTCCCTTCTCAATGAAATCTCTCAGAAATAGCAAGAAAATCAAACTTCTCCTTGCTCAGAGCTATGATTTAGCTGAAACGCCAAACCAAAAAATAGGTGAAGTATAAAAAGCAGAAAAATTTAGCAGGAGTGTAGGCGAAAACATAAAGTGCCCATGGCTATGGGGACCAGAAAGAGTTGACAAGGTACGTGTATCCAAGACAGAACCAAAAGCCTTAACCGTAAGACCAAATCCCTTTTGAATGTAGAAAGAAATGCATTATCTTCCTTGTACTTAGTTTGTGTCTGACAAACAGTGGGTTGGCCAATCTCAAAGGAAGGGAAAACACATTTGCAGCAAGCACCCCAGGCCATATGGCTGGATGGGAAAGACCAGAACCTCAGGTGGCTGCTCTGCCAGGTGGAAGGAGTTGGCTCTGAGGGCTCCACACACATCGATGACAGCAGTCCTGGGTGCGACACTGGCTCTCCACCATCGAACCTCCAACAATCACTACTCCATGGAAAATGGCCTTACACAGAGATAAGTAATCAAAAATACAGTCAGGTGCCACATAATTCCAGCTGCTCAGGAGGCTGAGCCCAGGAGATCGAGGCTGCAGTGAGCCATGATTGCACCACTGCCCTCCAGTCTGGAAAGAAGAGCAAGACTTTGTCTCTAAAAAGAAAATAAAAATTAAGAAAGAAAATATTTTTGTACAGCTGTACAATGTGTTTGTTTTAAGCTGTGTTATCACAAAAAAGTCAAAAAGTTAAATTTAAAAGTTTATAATGTAAAAGGGTTATAGTGAGCTAAAGTTAATTTATTATTGAAGAAAGAAAATATTTGTTGTAAATTTAGTGTAGCCTAAGTGTCCAGTGTTTACGAAGTCTACAGTAGTGCACAGTAATTCCCAGGCCTTCATGTTTACTCACCACTCACTCACTGACGCGCCCAGAGCAACTTCCAGTCCTGCAAGATCCATTCATGGCATGCAAGATCCATTCATGGTAACTGCCCTATACAGGTATTCGCATTTTTATCTTTTATACCATATTTATTTTTACTGTTTTCTTTTTTTTTTTTTTTTTTTTTAGACAGAGTCTCACTCTGTTGCCCAGGCTAGAGTGCAGTGGTGCCATCTCAGCTCACTGCAACCTCTGCCTCCCAGGTTCAAGCAATTATTTTGTCTCAGCCTCCGAAGTAGCTGGGACTATGGGACTACAGCCGCCTGCCACCACACCAGGTTAATTTTCGTAGTTTTAGTAGAAATGGAGTTTCACCATATTGGTCAGGCTGGTCTCAAACTCCTGACCTCAGGTGATCCAGCCATCTCGGCCTCCTAAAGTGCTGGGATTACAGGCGTGAGCCACCGGGCCCAGCCTACTGTCTGTTTTCTATGTTTAGCCGTGTTTAGGTAAACAAACGCTGCTATGTTACAATTTCCCACAGTACTCAGTACAGTCACATGCTGTACAGGTTTGTAGCCTGTGAGCAACAGGCTATCCCATGTAGCCTAGCTGTGTAGTAGTCTATGCCATCTAAGTTGTATAAGGACACTCTTTGCACAATGATGAAATTGCCTAAGGATGCATTTCTCAAAACATATCCCCATTGTTAAGTGACACATGACTGCAGTTGGGTACTAGATAAGGTACTAAAGTTATCTCATATTTTAGTTATTTTAATACAGGTATTGAAATAGCTAAAAAATGAAAAATGTCACAGAAAACAAATGGCAGATACGTATCATTCATTAGAAAATATATCACTCCTGAGCAACAGAATATAGATACCAAATTTTACTTTATAAATTACTAAAGTGTAATGAAGTCCCTGCCAGTATAAAACAAGAGTAGAAAGTAGATACAAGAGCTCAACACAAATAGAGATAGAGGAGATAACCCACGAGCTAGCAGGAGCCAGAAAAGTGTGTACATACCAACATGAAGATAGTAGTACAAAAGTAGTACAAAAGACTTCACATATCATGCACGTAGACTTTCTTCCACACAAATTCTCTGGCATCCACTGAGGGGTATACCACAGCTCCACACTTGCCCACAGACTCTGCATGCAATATTTTCCCTCCCTAAGAACTGTCTCATGCATATGTGTACTGTGGCTGCCAAATTGAACACTGTCTGTAAAATCCACAGGGTTTGTCTTCTATTTGAGTTCTTTTAGGCAAATAAAGTGAATGCTCTGAGAGGTTTCTCACTCTCATTATTTCTACATGGCTTCTCACTCTTTACTTTTCTGATAACTGTTTAAGTTATGCTCCAATCTGTGAACACATTGAGTATGTGAGTAGGAAGACAAGACACACAAAACTCTTTTCCTCCACCTCACTGTCTTCCCAGCTCTCTGGTGAGTTGGCGCTTCTGTCTGGATGAATGCCATTTCCTTCATGTGTGTCTCTTGGTTTGCCTTGCTCTTCTCCAACTGATCCTTACATCGACAACTTCTCCACATGGAGATAGAAAAGCCCATCCCTGACAGCCTCTCTAGCTTCACTCCACGGGATGGATCTTCATCAGAAAAGTCTTACATTGAGTCTCAAAGAGATAATTGCACACCCATGTTCACAGCAGCAATCTTCACAACAGCAAAAAGATGGAAGCAATCCAAGTGTCCATTGTCAGAGGAATGGATTAACAAAATATAGTATATGAACACAACAGAATGTTAAATATTCAGCCTTAAAAGGGATGGAAACTCTGACACATGCTACAACATGGATGAACCCTGAAAACTGTGCTAAGTGAATAAACCAGTCACTGAAGGGCAAACACTATATATGATTCCACTTATATGAGGTCCTTAGAGTGGTCAGATTCAGAAAGTAAAATGGTGGTTGCTAGGGGGACTGGTGGGAGGAGAAATGGGAGTTAGTGTTTAATAGGTACAGAGTCTCAGTTTGGGAAGAGAAAAAAGTTCTGGAGACGGATGGTGATGATGGTTGCACACTGAGTTTTACACTTAACAATGGTCAAAATGAAAAATTTTGTTATGTGCATTTTACTACAACTGAAAAGTTTTTGAATTTTTAAAAAATGCCTTATGTTGAAGTTGATTTTCCTCATGCAGGCAAGGCTCCAAATCTGTTGCCTTGAAAACATTATTTGATTCTTCATGGTTTATCCTCTTGACCCAACTAAGAGATGGTATTTGGCTTGGGAATACCCTGGGATGGGATGGCCAGTGCAGCAATGACTACCCCAATCTGACAAGCTCTCCAGGAAGGGCTATCCGTGAGTCACACAATTAGGTGGTGTCAGGAGACAACCTGGGCTTCCCAGGCCCGCAGCTCTGGACTGTGCTTCTCCCCAAGATGTACACTCAGACGTGCGTTCATGTGCACAGAAACTTCTGGTCGCGCTCTCTAGGAACCCTGGGCAGTGTTCTGCTGAGTCTTGACACCCTCCCCTGGATGCAGAGGGTGCTGAGGACTGAAGGTGTTGGTAGGAGGGCCCTGAGCAGCACTATACATCTGTTTCATAATCTGTTGCTTTTCTGCTTAATATTCTATTGTAACTATCGTTCTGCACCTCTAAGTAGTCTTCTATAACATTTCTTAAAGGTTGCATAGCACTCCCTTGTATGAATGCAAAATAGATGATTTAATCAATTCTTTTTTTTTTTTTTTTCAGATTGTGGTTGTTTCAAAGTTTTTGTATTATAATTGCCCCTACAGGGAACACACTTGGAGCTGAATCTTTACTCACTTAATTATTACCTTGGAATAAATTACTACAACTAGAATTGTTGGTTCAAAAGGTATGTGCATTTTAAAGGCTTTTGATACAGATTGCAAATTGCCTTCTCAGAAATGTTCCATGAATGTGCACTCAGACCAGCAGGGTGTTCGAGTCCCCATTCCCTACACCCCCCGCCAACACTGGGTCCTATCTCTTTTGTGCCTCATCTCTTGCCAATTGCACTAGTTGTTGTTGTTTTTCTTTAAGTATCTTATTGTTGTTTGCATTTGCATTTCTATGATCGCTGGTAATGTTGGGCACTTGTCATAGATTTATTAGCCACTTGCGGTTCCAAGTCTTTTGTCTGCATCCTTTGTCCTTTCTCCCCATAGAGGCTCCCAGCTTCTCCTTAATGACTGATAAAAGCTCTGAGTGTACCTGTTTTCCTGAGCGGGGCCCAGCTGCGCTCGGCACCCTCTCTGGTTGCTATGCAGATGTGCCAGTGGCAGGCCCAGTCGCCATGGCCACAGATGCCCGGGTCTCAGCGAGGAGCAGCGTGGGGAGAGGTTGCCATGGCAATGCTACCCAAGCAGGGCCTGGCTCCCCTCCCACTCTGCAGAGGCTGGGCTGTGGGGCTGCGCACCCAGGCAGAGGCTTCTCAAGCTGCAGAAAAGGAGGTGAGCAGAAGTTTGAATATTTCATCCCTGAATGTGGAGACGCATGATAAGATTAAAAGACAAAGCCGCTCATCGCAAAACTGAAAAGTTATGTCCCATGGCCAGACCAGACAATGCGCTAAATGAACATTTTTGTTAATAATATTGCAATTATCTTGTGATTTGTACAATTGTGGTGCATTATTTGTTTAAAGTACTAACTTATTAAAGTAACCACTTAAAATATAGATCAATTTCTTAAAACCATTGAGACATGCCTTTATTTTTTAGTATGCCAAGATCCTCCAAATAAATAAATACATGGGAAGTGCCAGGGCTTCCTGCTTTTCCCAGTCTTGGGGATGGTCTGGCACCCCATCTCGCAGAGTGCATGGTGGCCCCCAAATTTACACACTGAACTCTATGCCCAGTACCTCAGAATGGGACTGCACTTGGAGATGCAGTAGTTCCCACTTCTCTGCTGTTTTGCTTTCTGAAATTTTAGTTACCTACGGTCAATCACGTCTGAAAATATTAAATGGAAAATGCCACAGCCTGGGCAACATAGTGAGACCCCATCTCTACAAAAAGTTTAAAATCTAAAAACTAGCCCGACATGGTGGCGTGTGCCTGTGGTCCCAGCTACTCAGAAGACAGAGGCGGGAGGATCGCTTGAGCCCAGGAGGATCACTTAAGCCTGGGTGACAGAGCAAGACCCTGTCTCAAACAAAAAGGAAAAAAAAAAAGGAAGAAAGAAAATTCCAGAAACAAACTATTCATAAGTTTTAAATTGCACACCGTTCAGAGTAGACTGAAAAATCTCGCTGAGTGCAGCCCCATCCAGCTTGGGTGTGAATCATCCCACTGTCCAGCGTCTTTATGCTGTACCTGCAACTCCCCCATCTGTGAGTCATCAACATCGTCTGCTCCTGACATCCAGCCTGCAGTGTCATCACGGCTCAATGGTCCAGGGTAACCACAGCAGGTGACCCTCCCTCTGACGTACGTATCATCAGAAGGTTGGCAGCAGCCTGACACTATGTCACAGTGCCCACGTCACTCACTCACGAAGGCATTGTGTCATCTCACAGCCTCACAGAAAGAGTGAGTGAGGCACAATCGGGCGTTTGGAGTAAGAGAAGCCACACTCCCATAACCCTTATAACAGTATGTCCTGTTATTGTTCTATTGTATTCATGGTTGCTATTGTTAATCTCTCACTGTGCCTAATTCATAAATTAAACTTTATCATAGGTTTGTACATGGGGGGAAGTTCAGTACTATCCACAGTCTCCAACATCCACTGGGGGTCTTGGAGCACCCCTTGCAGATCAGGGGGACTCCTGCAGAGTCAGTAAAGAGGTACTTAAGTTAAAACGAGTGGCTCATAACCCAATATAACTGGTGTTCTTGTAAGAAGAGATCTGGACACAGACGCACAAAGGGGAATGACGAGGTGAAGACCCCGGAGGAGGAGACAGCCACCTGCAAGCCAAGGAGAGGGAGGCCTCAGGAGAAACCGCACTGACACGCTCCCCTACTGCACACACCACCCAAGAAAGAACCCCAGATGGGGCTGGCTTCCTAGGAGGTGGGAAGCCAGCCTCATCCCCTTGATTACAGCTGGGCAAACTGAGGCTGACACTGCTCTATCTCCTTGGGGCAGCAGGAAGGAAGGAATCACTCCCTTCAAACACCCCCCCAGCTCTGGGCCATCCCTCGCAGGCCCAAGTTCTTTCTGCCCTGGATTAGGGTGATTTATATCTTTTTCATGCATTTATTTATTCATTCCATTATCTAACTCATATTTATTGAACACCTACTATGTGCCAGGCACTGGGCTAGGCATTGGGGAGATCGTGGTGAGCAGGACAGACAAGATCCCTGCCCTCACGGAGCTCATGTGCTGGTGGGGACGGAGTGTGCACATGAAGTCTAAAGAAAGGAGATCATTTTAGAGAGGGGCTCCGAAATGCCGGGGGCTGGCATGACAGTTACTAGGGACCAGAGGGACTGGGGCAGGGAGACAATGTCGAAAGGGTGATCAGGGAAGGTGACATTTCAGTGGGACTCAAATGACAGGGAGCAGCCCATGTGTGAATGCCGGAGGAGGTGTGCTCCCAGGGAAAGGAGCTGCGCGTGGACATACCTGCATCTGGAGAGAGCGTGGGCTATCAGAGGAGCGGTGAAGAGGGCAGTGTGGCCAGAGCACACTGAGCAGAGTGAAGAGGAGGGTGAGATGGGGCCCCGGAGCTGTGAAGGAGGACCTTGTCTTGAACCGTCCTCAGGGACAATGTGCCAGGGGAGGGTCCAGCCTCCAGGCTCCTCCTCTGCCAGCCCCATCTGCCCCTGAGCAGTTGCCTGGGAGGCAGCAAGGAACATGAAGAGTCACGTGGATTCTGAAGACAAAACTAAACTGGAATCTCAGCTCTGAACCCCCAGCTATGTGACCTTGATTGTGTCATTTTCTAGAAGACACTGTCCTTTGCAGCCCAGACCCCTCCTTCTGGACCAAGGTATTTGGGAGTGTTGAAGGCTGAAGCCTGACAGCTGCGTCCCTGGGTAGTGCCCTTGGATAGCAGCAGCCGCTTCGCCCAAGGTCACACCCCTCCTGGGGAGGAAGGGGGCTTTGGTAGGCATCCCACATCCAATGTCTGGCTGGTGAGGGGGTACAGAGTCCTGGCCCCTTAATTAGAAGTTAAGAACCACTCTGAAGGGCCATTCAGGTAGGAATGGCTGAGGCTTCTGTTGCCCGCAATCAACTTCTCCCTCTGCCCAGCCCTCCTTCCCTCACTCCCTCACCAGTGTCGAGCCTGAGCCTACTCCCTAATAAACTTCCTGAATGCAAATCTTCATCTCACAGTTTCTTTCCCTGGAAAACAGACCTAAGACGCACTTCATTTCTCTGGAACTTAGTTTCTGCAGATTTACTGAGTTGCAAAGCTTAAAAGCAATGATGTATGCAAAGCTCCTGGTCCAGGACATGATAAGTCTTCAATAAATGTCACTTGTTCTCTTTTCTGGCCTCCCTGTGCCCTTTGGTCTCACACATATGTGTATCTGCCATTGAGCTCAAGCCAAGGCCTTATACAGGGTAGATGCCCAGTGTGTTCTGAATTGAGTCAATACACAATATATGACAAGCATTGCACTTGTCACATTTATTAGAAGATGAAGTGGAAATGGTTCATTGTCCCCCAGTATCCATGCTCAATTTCTCTCATAGAAATAAAACTCTAGACTTTTAGCTGGGTACACTTCATCCCAGAATGAAGACTACAGCCTTCCCTGCAGCTAGGTATGCCCATCCGTTTAAATGCTGGCCAGTGAAACATGAGCAGAAATGATGTATGCAACTTCAAACGTGTCTTAAAAAGAAAGGTCATGCTTTGCCCTTCCCACTGGTAAGAATGCAGATGTGATGGCTGGAGCTAGAGCAGCCACATTGGACCACAGAATAGCAGGGCAACTGTGAAGCCAGCAGATGTACCCTGGGCTGAATGCTCACTGGCTGTGCCTTTCAGGACCTAGTGCAGCAGATCTCTCACCTCACAGAGCCTCAGTGTTTGCATATGTGAAATGAGACAAATTCTAAGTGAGACCATATACAATGGAATCTCACTGTACCCAACAGTTCTATTTTACAGGGGAGAAAAATTCACTTAGAACTGAAGGGCTTGGACTCTTGGGAATATTGAATTTCAGACTAACTCCTTCTTAATTAACTCATTTTGTTTATATTTATCTTTGTGGTGTGACCTTCCTTTCCTGGGGATGGTCCAGATCTAGCAGGTCCAGGGGAAAGGCTAACAAATAAAGAAACAGATCTCTCCCTGTCAAAAAGGGCATCGAGTTCATGTAAATTAAAACGTGGGCCTGGCAGGCCTCCACAAGGCACGTCAGAGGTCCAGAGGCGCTCATGATGCTTATATGCTTGTTGTTCTGTGATGATTTAAAATGCCCTCAGAGCTGCAGGCACCATGGTGGTCTGGAGAGGTGCAGGTGAACCAGGAGCTGTGCAGCCTTTGCATATAGAAGAAGAGGAGGGTTTTCCTATAGATCCTGGTCAACGATGGAGAGGTTTCCATGAGCTCACTTGTCTTTGAAGTTAAGAAAAAAAAGTTTCCATGAGCACAGCAAAGGGGCATAGAGTAGACCCTGGCCTAGATGACATGGAGGGTTTTGGAGGAAATTGGGAAGAAGAGTTTTAGAGGACAACTCATGAATGCGTAGAATTAGCATGGATTGGCTGTGGGTGTTTGTGGATCCAAGGACTGGCTTTCGTCTGGCCTGGACCCAGGCCTCTCCAAACCTCAGCCCAGCCCCATCCCAGCTGCCCTGCCTCCAGACCCTGCCCACCCTCTGAGATCCAAGGAACCTCTCATTATAGCTTGGCTTTCTGCTCTATGCACCCCAGGGTATCACCCAAGGTCATGTTTAGACTTTTCACAAGAATTGGACAATTAGAGCAGACAAACAGTATGAATAACAGCAGTGCACAGCTCAGAATCTTGAAGGAGGCTGGCGTAGAGGATGGTGTATGTGTGCAATTTCAAAGGGCTTTACCCACTGGAACTGCTGCAACCAGAAAGATGGAAGAAGTCAAGGTACTTTTTCTTATTTCCCCCCACCAAATACAGCTAAAAGTCATGGGTATTCTGTGTAGAATGAATACAAGGAGGCCCTAACATGTGCAGAGAAGCACAAGCTGGGAGCCTCAGGACCTGGCAACAGCATGGTGGTGAGTTCCATCTTTTTGCTTCGTGTTTGCCAAACTGGGTGCTAAAGAGTCAGCAACCTAGAAATACCAACAGGCTCAGAAAACAATCCCCCAAAAAAACCTGCTCCCTCTAGCCAGGCAAGGGGCATTCTGGAAAACTTTAGAAGATAACTGACCTACGCCATCAGACCACACAGGAAAAGACGAGGCCCCACACCACCCTGGCCAGCAGAGACTGAGGAGGGAGCCTAGACCTCCACCCTCACCCAGATGTACTGACTGAGATGCCACCCCTCCTTGGGAAGGTATTGGAGAAGCCCAGCTGGGGGCAAGGAAGTCCACCACAGCCGGGCCTCAAAGGAGGCTGCTGAGACAGAGGTTTAAATAAGGCCAGGAGCCCCACCACATAACCCCTAATATCCAGGCTTCAATCACAAATCACTCCACACCAGGATCCAGGAAAACACCGACCCTGATGAGAAGAGATGCAGAGACTAACCCAGGATGACACCAACAGCAGCATCATCTGAACAATTTGAAGCCACCATCACAAAAATGCTCAACGGCAAACACAACAGAATCAAGTGAGAAAATAGAAAATCTCTGCAGAGAAACAAGCCACAAAGAGGAACAAAATGGGAACTCAGGGTTGAAAACGCAACAGCCAAAATTAACTCAGTGGATGGCTCAACGCCAGAACAGAGAGGCTGGAGGGAAGAGTCAGTGAACCTAAAGATAAAATAATAGAAATTACTTAATTTGAACAACAAAGCAAAAAATAGACTTAGATAAAAATGAGCAGAATCTCGGGTATGTATATTTTGGCCTATATACATTTTGGTCTATATTTTGGTCTCTCTATTACAAAAGGCCTAGCATCCATGTCGTGAGAGACCCAGAAAGGAAGAAAGATGAGGGTGGAGCTGAAAAGATTTTCAAGGAAATAATGTTTAGAAATTTCCTAAATTTGGCAAAAGACATAAATTTACAGATTCAAGAACCTGAGCAAACCCCAAATGGCATCAATCAAAGCAAACCTATGCCAAGACACCTTCTATTGAGACTTCGGAAAACTGAAGACAAAGACAAAAATCTTGAAAGTGGCAAGAAAAAAACATCTTGGCCAGGCGCCATGGCTAACGCCTGTAATCCCAGCACTTCGGGAGGCCGAGGAGGGCAGATCACTTAAGGTCAGGCGTTCAAGACCAGCCTGGCCAACATGGCAAAACCCCGTCTCTATTAAAAATACAAAAATTAGCCAGGTGTGATGGCGCATGCCTATAATCCCAGCTACTAGGGAGGCTGAGGCAAGAGAATCATTTGAATCTGACAGGCAGAGGTTGCAGTGAGCCAAGATCGCACCACTGCACTCCAGCCTGGGAGACAGAGAGAGACTCTACCTCAAAAAAAAAAAAAAAAAACAGAAACAGGCTGGGTGCGGTGGCTCACGCCTGTAATCCCAACACTTTGGGAGGATGAGGCGGGCAGATCACGAGGTCAGGAGATCGAGACCATCCTGGCTAACACGGTGAAACCCCATCTCTACTAAAAATACAAAAAATTAGCCGGGCATGGTGCCACGCGCCTGTAGTCCCAGCTACTCGGGAGGCTGAAGCAGGAGAATCGCTTGAACCCAGGAAGCAGAAGTTGCAGTGAGCCGAGATTGTGCCACTGCACTCCAGCCTGGGCGACAGAGAGAGAGAAAAAAGAAACAGCATCTTACCTGTAAGGGAAAACCATTTTAATGACAGCAGATTTCTCACTGAAACCATGGAGACCAAAAGGAAGTGGCACAGCAATTTTCAAGAGCTGAAAGAAAAGAACTCTCAGCCCAGAATCTTACATCCAGTGAAAATATCCTTCAGAAATCAAGAGGAAATCAAGACATCTTCAGAAGAAAAAAAAAACAGAGACTTTGTCACCAGCAGACCTACCCAAAAGGAGTGATTAAAGGAAGTTTGCCAAACAAATAAAATGAGAAAAGAAGGAATCTCAAAGTGTAAGGAAGGAAGAACACAGTCAACAAAATATAGATAGAGACAATAGACCTCATCTCTTGAGTTTTCTAAATTATGCTTGACAATTGAAGCAAAAGTTATAACACTGAATGATGTGATTGCCAACGTATGTAGAGGAAATACTAAAAAGAATTGTTATACAGGGGGAGAGAACAGGGAAAGTGAAGGACTTAGGTTTCTCCTCTTCCCCCCCCCCCCCCCCCCACTGATAAAATGTCAACATCAGCTAACTGTGATAAGTTATATATGTATAATCTAATACCTGGAATGACCACTGAAAAATCTGCACAAAGAGATGCTGTCAAACGCACTATATACAAACCAAAATAGAATTTGGCAGACCTGGGTTCAGGGCTGAGATAGAGCCCAGTGGGGTGTCAGAGTGGGGCATAAGCCTAGGGCTGGCCTGTCCACCCAGTTTCAGCCAAGGGTGGCATGGGGGTGTGGAAAGGGAGGGCACTGTGCAGGCTGGGACAAGGGGAGACAAAAGAGGCATCCTCCATAAAAAACACAGGGAGGCACTCACTGCCAGGCCTGTGGGTGGCCTCCGAGAGGCTGAGCCTCATGGAGGAGAGGCAGCCAGTTCCAGGCAGTGTGGCAGGCCAGGGGCAAACTGGAACTGGAACTTGGGGAACTGATTCTGAGGTCACCCTCTCAGGGGGTAGGAGTTTGCCTGTCCCTAGTTGAATACAGAGATCCAGTCAGGGACAGGGTCTGGCCTTCAGGTCACTGTGGGGAATTGAATGGGGAAACCGAGGCTGGAGCACAAAATAATGGATTGGACCAGCACTGCACAGTGGTGGTGGGTGTAGGGGAGATGCAGTAGCTTTGTGGCCCTGGGTGCAGGGACCTCCAGGGTCACACCAGACACAGGGCTGAAGGACCATGGGGCAGATCACATTTCCAGAGGCGACCACACAGCACCTCCCATCCCGCACACGCTTTTGCAGTGTGACTGTCTTACTCCGTTTTGTGTTGCTATGAAAGAGTACCTGAGGCTGGATCATTGATAGAGAAAAGAGGGTCCTTTAGCTCACCATTGTGCAGACTAGGAAGTTCGAGGACTTGGCCTTGGCTTCTGTTGAGGGCTGTCATGCTGCTTCATAACATGGCCAGGGTCAAAGGGAAAGTGGGCAAGTATGAAGGGTGGTAAACTGAGAGGTGTCTGGCTTTATAACAAACCTCTCTCGAGGGAACTAACTTATTCCCATGAGAACTCATCCAGCCTCACCAGAGTGAGAACTTGCTCACGGCCTAGAACAGCACCAACCACTCATGAGGGAAGACCTCATGACATAAACACCCCCCACTAGGCCCCACCTACCACCACCACCACCACATTTCAACACAAGCTTTGGGGACAAACAGACCATGGCATTGACCTTGTCTTGTCCCTGCCAAAGAGTGGCCTCTAACTTCCCCGCCCCCATGCCCCTGGCCTTGAACCTGACCTGGCCTTGGTGATTTCCTTTGCAGTGACAAAACGTTGTAGGAATGAGGTCAGAAGAATGAGGTCCCTAGGAACACTGGTCCTCAGGATGCTTCTCTGGAGCCTGGCTTGCCATGCTGTGAGGAGGGCCAAGCCACCCAGAGAGGCTATGTCAGCTTTCACTCAAGCCCCGGTGCCAGGCTTGGGTATGAGGAAGCCTCTAGGTCCCTGCAGCCCCCAGTAGCCTGAGTCACCAGGGTCACCACCCAGCCTTCAGTCTCCCCAGCTTTCTGGGACATGCGGAACAGAGGGGAAGCACCCTGACGCTCTCTGGCTGAATTCGTGACCCACAGACTTGGAGAGCAGGAGAAAATGGCTGCTGTTTTAGGCCTCTAGGCTTGGAGTGGTTTGTCACCCAGGCACCTAGAACAGAGCTCCCCTCCTGTTCACGCCATCCCCACCTGGGCCAAAAGACTTCCCTATTTTTTTGTTTTTTTTTTTTTTTTGAGACAAAGTCTCACTCTGTCACCCAGGCTGGAGTGCAGTGGCGCGACCTCGGCCCACTGCAACCTCCGCCTCCCGGGTTCAAGCGATTCTCATGCCTCAGCCTCCCAAGTAGCTAAGGCTCCCCTACTTTTAAGTGGGCAGAGGGCTGGAGGGGTTGGAGGCCCAGGACAGAGGAGGCAGCTTGGCTGCCTTGGCACAGGGCCTGCAGGACCTGGGGAAAAGTCTCGGGCTCGAGGGCCCTCTGCCCCAACTGCCACCTGGGCCAGTGTCCTCCCATCCCGGGCCCCCTGTACCTTCATCTGTCACACAGGGATGGTGAGGCAGAGAACATGCCCAGTGCACACTTGAGGCCACTGTGCACGAGCTGGCTCCTGCTTTTCCTTATGCAGCTGCTATCAGGCATGTGCTGCCTGGTCTGTAGACAGCCCGCAGGGGCACCTCGGAAGAGGTAGGGCCGTGCACCTTCTAAGCCTCAACTTTCTGCTTCTGCAAGTGAGAGAAGCACTGCGTGGGGTGCCTGACGCCAATCCCTCTAGGTCTCACCTCCTCCCTTGCCCTTGAATTGTCTTCCTCCCCATCACCTGACAACACTACTCTGGCCTGGCTGGACCCCAGCTTCCTCCCTTGCCCTGGCAACCCTCTCTCCCAAAGACACCACTGAGACTTTAGAAGTTCAACGCTGACCTCACCGCATCTGCCTAGCCCTCTTCACATGCCACAGTCAAGGTCTCCTGTGACCTGGCCTGGCTGCCTCTCTCCCTGTCTCCTGATCCCTGCCCTGTGAAACCGTCCCCTGCTTGAACTCCAGATACAACTCAACGGACAGTGGATACCTTGGCAGACGCCACCTCCACCAGTGATGAAGGTGAAGAGCCCTGGAAAGCAGTGGCACTGGTGCATGGACCCCCATGTGGTGTGATGAGGAGCACCTCCTCTCTGTGGTCCTCCCCCTCAGGATGCCAGTGCCATCATAAGGAAGCATCAGAAAAGCCCCAGGGGAGGCCCATCCTGTGGACTAACTGGCCAGCGCCCTTCCAGAGTGACCAGGTCACAAAAGATGAGGAAAGGCTGGAGGGGACCAGGGAGACAAGATGACCACACGAAATGGATCCTGGATTATTTCCTGAAACAGAAAAAGGACATCAGTGGAAATGCTGGAGATATCTGAACTCTAGTTCACGGTGGCACAGCAACAGTTATTCCTTAGTTCTGACAGTTGTATCACGGTTACGTGATGTGTTAACATACGGGACAGGAATTCTCTGCACCACCTTTTAGTTCTTCAGTAAATCTAAAATTATTTCAAAATAAAAGGTTTAAAAACCCTAGATGCTTAAAAATTCCTTATCGTGTCTCTCACTGTAACTGTATGCATAATCACTGTAATAACTCAAATCAGCCGAGGCACACAATGGTGACAGTGCTGGCCTCCCTTCAAAGAGAAGCTGGCGTAATGCGCGTGCCTCCAGGTCCCGTGCATGTGTTAACACATATCATAACTCGATTTTGTTTTTCTCATAAATGGGATATAAAGCACACTGTGTCCTGCCACTTGCTTTTTCTCCTGTTACTCCCCCTGGGGCGTCTTCCAGGTGGGGCCTGTGTTCACAGCCGTGGATGTAAACCACATTTCAAGCAGGCTTCTCGGTGAGTTGTAATTTCTGTGTCCGACTCCTCATCAGGGCCGATTCCATAGACGCTGTATTTACCTAGTACTGTGCACCCTGAGTGGCTCCTTCCAGGAGTGAAGAAGAGTGCCGAGTTACCATTTCTTGTTTTAAGCTCTTGCTTCCATTATCTTCAAAACACATTTCCTTCACATGAAACTTCTTAAGCCACTTGCTCATTTTGTTAGGGTTAGTTTAATTAAAACCAGAGACTATAATCCACAAATCCACTTACCCAGGCAATTCGCTGAAACAGAATAGACCTGCATGGGCCCCTCTATGCTTCAGGCCTCCCCCTGCTGCGAGGGGATGTGGCTGTCCGAACACCAGGGCTGAGAAAGGACCTCCGGAGGGCGGTGCCGTCTTTACAGTAGGCATTGATCAAGCTGATTGCTTTCTTGTTGTGGAGTAACACAGGTACAAAATAGAAGTTCTAATGTTTTCTTCTCACACCCTGTGGTATTCATAGAAGTTCCAGCATATTTTTTGCAGCATATTCACCAGTGGCTTGGCCTGCATGGAGGGTTGGTGCTCCATTTTGGGGACCCCTGGGCTGGGTCCTCTGCTATCCTTCGCAAGGCTAACTTGTCCTCCAGGCTCTGGAGACTCGCCTGCCCCCCAGGAAGAGAGGCAGAGAACATGCACAGCATGCACTCGAGCCTGACTCCCCAGCTGCATCAGGACCCCCCCTCGCTCTGGTCACAGCCACCTTCCTCCCTTTGGTCAAACATGATGCTGACCATACCACTGGGTACAAGCGACCCCCTGAAGCCTCTGAGGGCAAGCTCCTGCTCTCTGTGCTCACGCTGCCCACACAGGCCAGTGCTGAGGGGTGCTGAGGATGCACGGTGGAGGAAGGAATGGGAGAAGAGTTTGGATCTGCTCTGAACACGCGGGGAGAAGACCTGCTCCTCTCTCTCACCACAGCCCACCATGCCCCAGCACACAGCTGTGTCTGCTGTACATCTCACACCTGCCCCTCCTGTCTTCCCCACACTCAGCCACCAGTCGGAAAGCTGTGACCCCTGCTTCCCAGCTTCCCCTCTAGACACCCCTGCACCCCCAGGACTCACGGCACGTCCCTGCTTAGATGCTGTCCATGGTTCCCCCACCGCGTTTAAAGGCTACACCTGCCCAGGCGCGAGGCTCACTGTTGGCCCTGGCTAGCTGCTCCCCCACCACCCCGCACTGGGCCTCCTTGCCCTTTTTGTCCTTGGAACCTTGGCACAGGCTTGGGATGCTCCCCAGCTCTACACAGCCACCCTGCTCCATGTCCCTTGGAACCTAGGCAGGGCCTCCTGCTGTAAGCCTCATGTGTTTCTCTTCTCTTTAAAGGCCGCAGTGTACCCACACACCCAGTGGGCGTTTGCTAAAGGCAGGCACACAAGAGCAAAGAAAGGGAAGGAGAAAGGAACAGCATGCCCTATCCTGGGAGGTGAGGCAGTGGGCAAGGCCCCAGGCTCTGGGCTGAAGGCGGCCTCTGCAATCCTAGGTGACACCAAGGTCCAGGTGGGGTGGGGGTGAGCGGCATACCTGATGGGCACAAGGGTGTGGACAGGGCTGGAAGCAACTGTCCCAGTGTGTCCTGCTTTCCCTCCCTGGGGGGTCCCTTGGGCATCTCAGCCTGGTGAGGCACTTTCCTCCCTCCAAGTGCTGGCACGTGACCAAGAGAGGGTGGCATCAGGAAGCACCTGTGCCTGTGTCTGTGTGAATCAGATCTGCCTGTCGCCGTGAGCTTTGTGTCTGCCTGGATTGGTGCGGGGGTGTGTGTGTTTGTGTACCGGCGTGTGATTGTTTTGGTTTGCTGTGATGAGTGTGGGTGTATTTCTGTGGGGGCCATGAGTGCTCTGTGGGGGTGTCTGCTGTGGGGGTGGGTCTGGGTCCCCACATGCCCGCGGAGCTGTGTGTAGGTGTCTGTGTGCTCCTCGAGCCTTCATGCTTCAGCTTCCCCCACCACAGCCCCGCCAGACCCTGCCCAGTTCCCCACTCTTTGCTCCCCCCAGTTCCCATCACCTAGCAACAACAGAATCAAAGCAGTGGCCTCTGCAGACAAAGAAGGTGTCTCTAGGAGGGAAGAGCTGGGAGGTGGGAAGTGGGGGAGGGGCCCCAGACCAGGCTCAGAGCATATCCTTGCTCCTGGCCTCCACCGCAGAAGGTGGCTCACCCCTCTGCATGGAACAGTCTCTCTCCATTCCCTCTACCCTGGCCTTCCTCCTCCTTGCAGGCCCCAGAAGCTGGAGGGGGCTGGTCGGGGTTGGGCTCACAGACACAGTGGTGGAGCTCAC
This sequence comes from Homo sapiens, assembly GCF_000001405.40. Classification (NCBI taxonomy): domain Eukaryota; kingdom Metazoa; phylum Chordata; class Mammalia; order Primates; family Hominidae; genus Homo; species Homo sapiens. The sequence continues at coordinate 127,537,236 of NC_000003.12, forward strand.
AGAAGTGCCCCCACCCACCAGGAGCCCAGGGTGGGCCTCAGCCAGCCGGGGGTAATGAGGCATGGGATGGACTCTGCGGGCACCAGGCCTGACCCTGAGTGCACCCAGGCGAGGGCGGGGGACACTCAGATCTGCCCCTCTCTGCAGGAACCTGGTTTCCCCACCCTGGAGGCCAGCGCCAAAGGACGTTCACGTGCAGCTGTGGGTAATGGGTGGGCCATCCTGAGGGTTGGGAATGGAACAGGCCCAGGTGCCTCCTCTGGCCCTCAATGCCCTGCAACCTGGCCTCTCCTGGGACTCCAGTCTCCCCCGCACACCCCTGCCCTGTCCCCACACTCCAGCCGTGCTGGCCAATGGGCCAGACTCTCTTTCTTGGGGTCTTTGCACCGCCCTCCCCTGCCCAGCACACCCTTCCTCCAGGTTGCCACGGGGCTCACGCCATCGTTCCTGTGGTCATGCGGTTGCCACCACTTGGGCAAAGCTGGTCCTGGCCACTGTATGGCGGCTCCCCTCCCCACCCACTCTGTCCCCCACCTCTGCATTATCTCGCCTGAGGCACTTAGCTCACTCTAAGATGGTCCTAGTTACTCCCTGATTGTCTATCCTCTGACTCACCCGTGATCTAATAATAAGCTCCATGATCTAATAATAGCCAGATTCATTTAGCACTTACTATGTGCCAGGCACCGTTCTAAGCCCTTGATGTCTTCTAACTCATTTTACCCTTGCAGCAACCACACAATATAAGAGCTACTGTCTCCAATTAACACTTGGGGACACTGAGGCAAAGAGCCTGGCTGAATATTGTGCCCGTGAAGACAGAGGGACAGCCTATTTTGTTTGCTGCTGTATCCTTAGCACCCAGCACAGGGAAGGGGTCCTGGTACATTTCTAGAAAAAATGGAGGGGAGCAGAGTCCCCCTGAGCACCTGGGGTTTGATGCCTCCCTGCCCAGAGCCCTTGCTATAGCATATGCTGGTGAGGGCCGAGGCTCTAGCTCACACTCCAGACCGGGGTAGGGATCCAATCTGGCTTTGAAGACATCATGCAGAGCCTCTGCTCTGGAGATGGGAACCTGCAGACAAATGCCTCCTTATCTCAATCCTCTGAAAACAGTTTGACCAGGGAGACAGCGTTCACTCATGAATTTAAGAAAAAAAAAATCCCTGATCCCTACTTTTTGCCAACTTCAATGCTGATTTCTAGTGGTACCAAGAAAAATGCAACTGAGCCTCCATCCTCAAGGGGCTCACAGTCTTGTGTGGAGATAAAAAGTGAGTGGTCATTCAGATTGCGGTGAAATCTCCCAACGACTGTCTTCTATTCACAGTTATCAATGTCCTGGAGCGGAGCTGCTGGGGAGGAAGTATGGGGAGTGGCAGGAGATGAGATTGGACAGGGAGGGACATCTCTGAGTTCCCAGCCAGAGAACTAGAGGGCAAACAGAGGCCATTCATGGTCCCATGCCACAGGAGTGACACATTCGCCTTTGTGCTTTCTAGCTGACTCCTGTGCAGGTGCAGGTGCAGGTGCAGGTGCACACACACACACACATGCCGTGTTAGTGGGGCTAGGTGCCACCTTACGAGGCCCCCAATGGAAAAAGGTTTAGGGCAGGGAGTCAGGGGTTTATACAACCATTGGAAGGGCTGGAACATCAAAAGTTGGGACTTGGAGTTTACTGCCAGCTTTCAGGGAAGTAGGATGTTACTGTTGCCTCCCAGGTCGGGAAACTGCTGAAAATTGCTGAAGATGTTCAAGGCTTTCTGTTGTTATTGCACTCAATAAATATTTATAGAATGAATGAGTGAGTGTTCACAGACTCTCATATATATTTATATCACATGGAACTAGTTTTTCCCCCAATAATTATTTATTAGAAAGGTGAATAAAATTATAAATAACAAAAACAATACCTTCACCATTAACTTAAAAAAATTCTAAATACAATTCTTTGGACTCTCTTGATCATTATTCTTATGAATACATAGGGATGCAATCAAAATAAAGAATATAATTTTGCATCCTAACCTTATTTGCTTAATTTTTAAATTTTGAAATAACCACAGATGTATAGGAAGTTGCAACGATAATATAAAGAAGTCCTTTGATGTCTTCATCCAGTCTCCCCCAGTGGTAACATCTTATGTAGCTATTCAATACTGAAGCCAGGACATTGACATTGATACAATGCACATGTTGAATTCTATGTCATTTTATCATGTGTGTAGATGCAGGCCTGCTGCAGATCCAAGTCCTGTGACCGGGGTCCTGCCCAAGGGTCCTGCTTCCCTAGGCATCCCAGAAGTTCAGCCTGCATCTCGACCAGAGCCTGAGAGTAGACACCTGCCGGTTTATCTGTCCCTTCATGTAGCAGGTGACAGAGGTGCCAGGGGCATGGCAGGGGTACTCTGACACAGCACTGCCCCACGGAGCCCATGTCCCAGGGCAGAAGACCCACGATGCACAGCCAGCCAGGTGAGAGAAGAAATGTCAGATACAGAACACAATGAAGAAGAAAGCCAGCTATGAAGGTGGCCCCGTCGCAGGCTAGGGTTGGGAAGAGACCCTGAGTTGGAGGTGAACATGCAGGACGTTACTTAGGGAGGGCTCTTGCGTTGATACTGTGGACAGAAAGGGCAAGAGAAGGCAGGGCTGGCGGGGAGCTGTGATGAGCTACAACAGAAGCCCCAGCAACGCAGGCAGAGATTCTGAAGATCGATGGCCCTTCAGAGGGCCCCGGGGAGCTGCACCGGTTGCTCATAGGGAGGGGAGCGACCTCAGTTGAGGCAGCTCTCTGCAGCTGGGTGTGCTGACTCCCGGCGGATGGGGCGGTGGAGCGGGGGGGGGGTCCGAGCACCCCCACAGATGCTGTCCAATTAGGAAGGCTTCTGTGATGCCTCATCTTGTACATCAACTTGGCCTGGCCACACTGCCCAGTTTCTGGTCAAACTCTGGTCTAGACATTTCCACAAATGTATTTTTTTAGATAGAAAAAATATTTAAGCCAATGGACCTTGAATAAAGCAGATTACCCTCCATCATGTAGGTGGCCTCATCCGATCAGTCAAAGGCCTCAATAGAACCAAGACTGACCTCTGCCAAAGAGAGAATTCTTTCAGCAGACGGCCTTCGGACTTGAGCTATGACGGCAACTCTTCCCCGGGCCCACCTGACGGACTGGGTTTCTCAGCCTCCACAGTCGTGTGAGCCAATTCCGTAAGATAAATCTCTCTCTCTTCTCTCTCAATCTCTCTCTCAATCTCTCTCTCTCTCCAGGAAAGAACTCCAGGGTAGCTGGGAGCTTGGTATGTTCCAGGACAGCAGGGAGGCCAGAGCCGCTGTCAGTGTGAGAGGGTCGGAGTACAGTGGGGCCCTCCCTGCATGTGGGGCCTCATAAGGTGGCATAGATGCACGCTTGTTCTGTGTGGACAGGGTTTGGGTGGGGGTGATGCTTCCTCTGTTCCCTGGGTAGAGACTTGATGTCTGGTGGCCTGGGGAAGGCAAGGAGGCCATGTGGAGGCTGCTGCTGTGGTCCGGGTGAGAGGTGACGCCACTGTAGGGCAGCTGGTGGCATGCATAATTCAAAATAGGCATATTGACCAGATGCAGTGGCTCATGCCTGTGATCCCAGCACTTTGGGAGGCCAAGGCAGGAGGATTGCTTGAGCCCAGGAGTTTGAGACCAGTCTGGGCAACATGGGGAGACCCTGTCTCTACAAAACATTAAAAAAAAATTAGCCAGAATAGTGGTGTGCACCTGTGGTCCCAGCTACTTGGGAGGCTGAGGTGGGAGGATCACTTAGGCCCAGGAGTTGGAGGCTGCAGAGTCGTGCTCACACCACTGCATTCCAGCCTGGGCGACAGAGTGAGACCCCACCTCAAAAAACAAAAAACAGGGGTATTTTGCAGGCAGCATCTAAAGGCCCAGCTGCTGGCTTGGCTGTGGCCTTTGAGAAAATGAGCACAGTCAAGATGGAAGTACAGATGTGGGCAGGCCCTGTTCCAGCCTCCAGATGTTTCCATCCTAGCACTGGTAAGGATGAACTCATTTGTTGAAGGGGGAAGTCATGTGCTCCAGGAGGGCAAGGGAATGGGGCATTGTTGAATCCTGCCTTATCCCTGAGCCCCCACAACTAGAGAAATACGAGTAACACCAGTGGAAAGGCTGCCTTCCTTCCATACCTGTGGCCACTAGGTGCTCTCAGCCCTGCTGCAGGCTAAGGGCGTGGCCACCCCCTGCCCAGGTAGCCTACAAGGAGGTTTGTGCCAAGCCCAGAGCCAGAGCAAGAGCTGGCTCTGCCTGGAGGAGCTCATGCGAGTTGAGGAGATAAGGCACAAAATAATTAGTGAGCAGAGTGTATAATTAAGCGCTAAATTGTGTGTTTCAGACTCACTGAGCTGTGGGAGTGTGAGGTGGGGGAGTCACACCAGGCTGGAGTGGCTGGGTGAGGCAGCTTCTGCAGGTTGGGGGCACGACTAAGGGGGGCAGCCCAGAGAAGGGACAAGGTTCCAGGTGGGGGCAAGGCAATGGGGCGAGGGGTGGCAGGAGCACAGTGAGGTGCAGAGAAAGGGAAGAGAGCGGCCATCAGTGTGATGGGGTCTGCAGGTTGGGGCCCCAAGACTGCATTGGGTAAGCAGTGGATCCCAGCACCTTGTGATACGCTGGGCCTCATGTACCACATCTGTGAAATGGGGATGCTGGATGTATTCCATGGGCAAGTCTGTGTACAGGTCCAGCCCAGGGTCTGGTACATGGGGACACCCAAGCAGACAGACAGGCAGGCACATAGACAGAGGGGACAGGCAGACAGACGGGAGGAGCCAGGTGGTCAGACAGATGTTCAGACATAGATGGGCCAGACAGACAAGCAAGAGAAGTTCAAATAGACAGCTGGATTCCTGTGTCCCAGCACCTGGCCCTTCCACAGCCCTGACCAGAGCAGGTCCTACCCACCCTCATCCTGCTCTGAGAGGCGGAAAGCCTGGGGCTACCAGGTGGCCCCGAGACTGAGGGCTCTGCGTGGTAGGGTGTCCTTGTTGCAGCATTCAGGAGCTGGGATTCTGGGAGAGCTGGGCTGACTTCAGGCTTTGGGGGCCAGGGCCCAAAAGTTCAAAAGGGCCCAAGAAGATGGAAGGCAGGGATGAGCATGGGTGGCCCTGGGCTGGAAGGAAACCAGGAGGCAGAACCATGAGGGACACATGCAACCTGGCCAGGCTGGGCCCCGGGCGGTCAGGCCAGACACAGGAGAAGGGCAGCATGTCACTAGCATGGCAAAGGATCCCAGCGGCACAGGAGGCTTCCCCTTGGCAGTGCTGTGTTTGCTGCCTGGCTTAATGTGCCGCCGCCTGTTAAACAAATATTGTGACAGGCCCACTCCATACACTCAGGGACGGCGGCGGCACTGGCTGTCACCAAGGGTGGCCAGTAACGCGGGCACTCTGCACCACGCAACCTCTCCTTCCAACTCAGAGCAAGCCTGCTGCCTAAACAAACACAGGGCTTGGCCACCACCAAACACACCCAGAGGAGACACAGGAGTGGGGCCCAGCCTGACTCCAGCACTCCTGCCCCACACATGCAGGCAGGAGGAGGCAGCCCCACAGGCCCCTCTGCCCCACCTGGCACGGACACATCCAGCCAGCAAACACTGAGCATCTGTCACGTGTGGAGCACTGTCCTGGAAACAGGGAAAAGGGCGGAGCTCCCACCTAACAGAGGAGGCTGGCCACGGACAGAAGGAAATACAGCATGCCTGGCGACAATACAGAGCCAGGAGAAAAGCCACAGGTAGAGCATGACAGGTGTTAAAGCAAACTAAAAATGGCCTGAGAAGGACTTCATACTTCTATATGTTAGTCCTTGTGGATGAACTGTAACCTAACTTAATAGGTAGACAAAATTGGAAAAACTGTGTTCAAATAAGGCAAACGCCAACCTATAACCAATCCAGCTGTTTCTGTACCTGAATGCCGATTTCTTTACGTCATTTTCCTATTTTCGTCTATAAATCTTCTTCCGCCATGTATCTGCGCTGGAGTCTCTGTGACTCTTCTGTGATTCTGCGGGCTGCCCGATTCCTGAATCGTTCATTGCTCAATTAAACTTCTTTAAATTTAATTCAACTAAAGTTTTTCTTTTATCACAGGGCAGTCAGGGAAAGCCTCCTGGAGACTTGGGCAAGAGACCCAAAGGAAGTGAAGGGGCGGGCAAGATGGGAGAAGAGCATCTGGAACAGCATGTGCAGAGACCCAGGGCCAGGGCTGTCACTGGCATGTTCCGGGGCTGGTAAGGAGCTGGGTGTGGTGGAAGCGGACTGTGCACCAGGAGAGGGGACCATGAGGCAGAGAGGTCCCCGGCACTCCGTGCAGGCCTCTAGGCCATTGTTGGACTGTTTCCTCTGAGCAGGTCATGGAGTGCGTGGAACAGAGGAGGGAGGGACGGGACCTGACTTTGGGTTTAGGAGGGGGGTCCCTCTGGCTGCTATGGGGCAGGAGCAGAAGCAGCAAGGCCAGCAAGGAGGCTGCGGCAACAGCTCAGGAGTGGTGGGGCGGGTGGCCCACACCACGGTGGGAACAGAGCCGGAGCGGGAGGTCAGATTCTGGGTGTATTTTGGAGGTGGAGGTGGCAGGGTTTCCTCACAGGCCGGATGTGAGGCGTGAGGGAAAGAGAAGAGACGGGGCAGAATGTGCTCATTCACTCATTTGTTCATTCATCCTACATTCACTTTGTCTTTTTGACTAGGTGGGCAGGGAGTGTGGCAGCATTGATGAGAGTAGCTTTGTGGTAACACTCCTCTTAAACATCAAATACGCAGCCTCAGCCACACAACCAAGGAGGAAGCCGCTCTTCCAAGAGTCTCCCATCCTTCTGTCCCTCCTCCTCCAGCCTGAACCCCTGCCCAGAGCACAGGGACAGCAGGGCTCCAGAGCTTCTGACCTGCCTGGGGTGGGGGCAGGCCAGGGAAGGGTTGTGGACCATGGCCACCTGTGAACCCAGTCCTGGAGGGATGCTGGGCAAAGATGAGGCACAGGGCGAAGGTCGGAGGCAGCGGCATGCTGGCCCTTGTGCAGCGGGGCAAGGTCTGGGGCACCGAGCGGCCTCACGCACCTGGCTGGAGGCTCAACTGTCCTGAGGCCGGGCAGCCACTGCAGGATTGTAAGCGGGAGCAATTTTGTTTAAGACATCGCCCTCTGGTGGCCATGTGCAAGGTGGCCTGGAGAGACAGCCCTGGGAGGGCTGTGGCCCCAGCTAAGGCAGGAGGAGGGCTCAATCAGCCATCTGTCACCTCACCACAAAGAGGACAGAAGGCCCTGTGCCCCCTCCCACCCAGACCCTCACACTGCCACTGTGTGCTGAGCCTGTCCCTGCCCCACTGTTCCCTCAGCCCTGGTCCCAACCTCACTGTGACCTTGGGCAATTTCCAACCCTCACAGCCTCCATGGAAGAGCAGGGCCCCAGGGTCTCTCAGCCAGAAGATCTACCAGTCCTAAATCCACACTTCTTTTTGCAGAGCCCAGCAAAACTGGGCAAGACAGGCCTGCACCCCTCAGGAGGGCTGTGTCTACCGTGGTAGTACAGCTGAGCGGCCTGATTTCAGCATTTTTAAACAAAGCCTCCAGATGGACTTTGTCTGCCTGCTGGGGAGGGCTGGGCAGCTGCTGCACTCAGGGACTTTCCTCTAATTGGATCCCCTGGAAAGGAGAACAGCCCCAATCCCAGCCAGCCCATCCATCCATCCATTCATTCATTCCTTGAGAACCCATCATGTGAATCAGGGCCCTGAGCTGGGGTCTGGGTGAGCAGGAAGAGGAAGGGCTGCACAGATGGCGCACACACTTGGGCGGGGAGACCCACGGTCCTAGGCAGGCAGGGATCCGAAGCATCATGAGGAAGGCAGAGATCCAAAGCATCATGCAGGAGGCAGAGTTAAGCAGGGTGGAGCGACCGAGCAAGTGCTTCTCCGAGGAGGTAACATTTAAGCTGAGGCCTGAATGGAAAAATGGAGCCAGCCACACCACAGTCTGGGGAGGTGCTCCCAGAGGAGGGGACTGCAAGTGCAAAGGCCAAGAGACCAGTAGGAATGGGGGCTGTTTAAGGACCAGCACCGGAGAAGGGGGAGGTCAGGATTTCAGCGGGTGCCTCTCAGGCAGGGCCTGTGTCTGTGGCAGGAATAATCTATATTTTACACCATGTGCGCTCGGAGGAGGCTGCTTCAAGCCTGCTGGAGCCGCTCCCTCTGCTGTGGTGGGGACTAATGATACCACTCGTCTGTGCACAGCCGCTTTATTATTACTTATTGGCCCACATGATCCTCCACCAGGAGGAACTGTTAGGCTTATTTAATGGATCAGGAAACTGAGGTTCCGAACAAGAAGCAGAGCTGGATTTGAGCAGAAACAGCCATTCCAGCTGAATTCAGCCCTTAGAACTAGTTTGTTTTACCTGTATAGCTTTGAAAATTTGAATCCGTTGCCAACTCTACAACATTGGGAGCCTTCACGTCGAAGATGTTTTGGCTTTCGGCATCTCTTCAACAGTCTGTGGCACTGGCTATGGCAGTGTGAGCCCTGGCTCTGCACGGGGTTGTCTGCAGATGCCCCTTCAAACCAGAGGTCACAGCCCCCACTCTCCGAATCCCATGCCCCTCTGGTGTCCTGCCCTGCTCCCCCAGCACCTGAGTTTGCCACCTGGGCCACCTCTGCTTGAGGTGGGCTTGAGCCCACCTGCTGTGGTGAGCCCGTCTTGCTTAGCTGACAAGGGACACATACACTAGAGAGTCTCTGAGGGAACAAACAATCCTCCCGCACCACTCCCCACCCCGATTCCACGACTGTCTCCTCAGTTTCCTGCCACCAGACCTGAGACTCCCAACTGCAACTTTCAAGATGTGAATGAATTCAGAGACCCTAAGAGCCAGAGACCATGGATGGGGCTATCCTCCAAGGGGAAACTGAGGCCAGTGGGGTTCGGGGCCGGCCAGCTAGTCACTCCTGGGGCTTCTGGAGACATGCTGTGAAGAAGCACATTCTTCCCTTCACCTTGGGGCTCGGAGCCCCAGCTCTGCCTCCATTTAGCTGTGACACTTGGGCAGCAGGCCTCAGTTTCCCCAACTGTTCACTGACAGAATCACTGTGAAGTTCATGGGGGCTTCTCGGCTCACGTACCCATTGTCTCAGGAGAGGAGCAGCTTGTCTCTCTGGGTTCAAACTCAGCCTCCACTTTTAGCTATGTAACCTTGGGCAGGTAGCTTAATCTCTCTGAAGCTTGGCTTCTTCATCCAAAAAAGGAGACGCATTATTGGGATTATTATGAGATTCCAGGAGATGATTCAAGAAAAGCCCTTAGCACAGAGCAAGTGCTCAGCAAATGTGAGCAAGAGCAGGGAGTTGTGAGCTGACCCGTGTCCCCTCCCCAAGGGCTTAGGCCAAGGTCACGACCAACAGGCCAGCGTCCCAGAGAAGGCCAGGCTCTAGGCCTCCTCATCCAGAGTCCACTTGGCCGAGTGGTATAGTCCCAGACTGAGGTCACCCTCCACTCCCATGTCACTGAGTCCCTGCCATGTGCCAGGCAGCCCTGTCAGTGCTGGAGGGAGGTCCCGTGGAGACAGAGACTGGGAGGGTGCTGCCCTGAAGTTCTAGGGGGAAAAAGGAAGGAATAAATAGGGGAGTGGAACAGAAACATCCAGGGAGGAATTGGGACTACTTGGTCCATCGGGGGGAGAGAGAATTTTGGGCCATCAGGAGAGGTTGAGGGGCATTGCCAGGGAAGGGCTTTCCAGGCAAGGGAGCCACACGTGCTGGGGCAGGAGGCAGGCACAACCCTGAGGCCTTGTGGATAGCAGGAAGGCTGTTGTGCCCGCTGCAAGAGGAGAGGAGGGGAGAGGGGAGCCGCGGTGTCAGCTGGGCGGCAGGGCATTCATGGGGATTCTATTTTAAGGTGACAGGAGCCCTGGAGGGTTTGAAGCCAGCTCGGTGGTGGGCTTTCCATTCCACACCAAGGCCAGCGGCAGGCTCAGCTCAAACCCTGAGAGTCTGGCTCCAAACAGCTCCAGGCAAGAAAATGAAGCTCGGAGGGGAACTCAGGAGGGAAGGATTGGGGTTGGGAAGGTGGTGCGACTGGGGAGGGAGGGGCACAGGCTGTGGTCAATGGGTGCGGTCTGAGGCTGGGGGTGCGAGCTGGGGTCTGGAGGTGAGACACGGACTGGGTGCTGGAGAGGGGACATAAGCTGGGGTACTCAGGAGGGGTCAAGGGAGGAGGGACGGAGCTGGGGCAAGGACTGGGTCCGGGGGAGGGGTAGGGGAGTAAGCCAGGCGGTGTTGGCGCAGCTCAGAGCAGACGCACAGCCCGGGGCTGGGCAGCAGGGCAGGCGCTGCCCAGCCCCTCCGAAAGGCGCAACTGAGAGGGGCCTGCGGCAGTCCGGAGGCGCCCCCTCCTCTTCCCCTCCTCCTCCTTTCCCTCCCCTCCTCTTCCTTCCCCTCCCCTCCTACTCCAACCCCTCCTCTCCCCTCCTCTCGCTGCCTTCCCCTTTCTTTTACTCTCCCCTCACCTCCCCTCTCCTCCCCTCTTTCTCCTTCCTCTCCCCTCCCCTTGCTGTCCTCCCGTCCCTTTCCCTACCCTCCCCTCCCCTCCCCTCCGCCCCCCTCCCCTTCCGGAGCCCGGCCCCGCGCGCCGCCATGCCTGGTGCCGCACCGCCCCCTGGTGCCCACGTCAAGCATGGCGCGGAGCGACTGCACTGTGCCCGGGCTGCACTGGGGGCGAGAGGCCAGGGAGCCCCTACGGCCTCCAGAGGCCGGGCGTTGGGGGGGCCGCAGAACGTCGGGGACTCCCTTGGGACCCACGCTCAGCTCCGCCCTGCCCGCACTCGGCTGGGTCCTTGGGGCCCCTCCCCTCTCTGGATCTCGCTTCACAGCCAAGATCACCAGCTGGGAGTGGCCAAGGTCACCAGCTGGGAGTGGCCGACCCAGCGCCAGGCGCCGTCCCGCAGCGCTGTCCCCGTCCCCGCAGGCCAGCAGGCTGCACGACTGTCTGAGCCTCAGTGTCCTCATCTGTAACACGGGCATCATCATATCCCCAGCTTCAATCTTCACGTCTCAAACCATTGAAATCTCAGCAGTAAGAATCCAAGTATCCAAGTGCCAAATTCTCCATCAATGTCTACATAGTTTTGGTTTAAGTCTGTCTTTTCATGCATTTCCTTTTAGCACTGGAATGAAGTTCAAGCAACAGGCCGGTCACGGTGGCTCATGCCTGTATTTCCACCACTTTGGGAAGCCAAGAAGGGCGGATCACTTGAGCCCAGAAGTTCGAGACCAGCCTGGGTAACACAGGGAAACCCCATCTCTACAAAAAATTTTTAAAAATTAGCCTGACTTGGTGGCGCACACCTGTAGTTCCAGCTACTGAGGAGGCTGAGGCGGGAGGATCGGGAGGATCGCTTGAGCACAGGAGGTCGAGGCTGCAGTGAGCCGTGATCACACCACTGCGCTCCAGCCGGGGCAGCAGAGCAAGACCCTGTTTAAAAAAAAAAAAAAAAAAAAAAAAAAAACCAGACACACAAGCGACAGTGAACCTCAGAGGCTGGCATATAAAAAGGGTGGTTTTTGAGAAGCAAGACCCTCCAGAAGTCAAGCTTTAGCCCTATCAAAAGATGTCCAAGAAACTTTTTTTTTTTTTTTGAGATGGAGTCTTGCTCTGTACCCAGGCTGGAGTGCAGTGGCACGATCTCAGCTCACTGCAACCTCCACCTCCCAGGTTCAAGCAATTCCCCTGCCTCAGCCTCCCAAGTAGCTGGAACTACAGGCATATGCCACCATGCCCAGCTAACCACACCTGGCTAATTTTTTGTATTTTAGTAGAGACGGGATTTCACCATGTTGACCAAGATGGTCTCGAGCTCCTGACCTCGTGATCCACCCACCTCGGCCTCCCAAAGTGCTAGGATTACAGGAGTGAGACAGCGTGCCCGACCAGAAACTATCTTTAAGCTAAAAATGCACTTAAAGAAAAAGGAAAAGTCAAAAGACAAATGAGAAACTGGGGAAAATGTTTGAAACTCATTACAAAAGTCTAGCACAGGGTCAGCAGGCTGTTTGTGTAAAGGGCTGTGTAGTGAGTACTTTCAGCTTTGCAGACCATGAGGGTATCTGTGGCAACTGTTCAGCTCTGCTGTGGTGGCAGAAGGCAACCACAGACAGTGAGTGCAGCTCTGTTCCAGTAGAATTTTATTTACAAAAAAATTTAAAAGGCAGTGGGCCCAATTTATCCCACAGGCAACAGTTTGCCAATCCCTGGTCTAACCTAATACATTAAAAGCTTCTAGAAATCTAGAAAAGACAACCCCCCCGAAAATTGGCAGAAAACTTGAATAGACAGTTTACAGAAAACTCAAAAGGCCCCTAAATGTATGACAAATGTCCAACTCCACACATGATAACAGAAATGGAAATTAATGACATCAAGTTACCATTTCTCACCTATCAGAACAGCAAAGAATTCTAGTGCTGCCGACAGCGTGTGTGTGTGTGTGTGTGTGTGTGTGTGTGTGTAACAGGTCCTTCCACATTGCCATGAGAGTCAAGGGAACACCCTCTGGAGGGGAAGCTGTCCATAGAAAGGGCTGTCATATTTACCATGTGACCCTGCAACCCTACCTCTGAGCATGGGTCTTGCAAACATCCTGGGCACCACGAAATGATGCGTCCTCACAGTTCCACCACGGGAGGCACTGCTGCCGTTTGTAATCATGAAAATATTGGAAACAACCCATCTAGGAGCTGGTTAGACAAACTCTGCTTTGGGCACACAGTGGAATACCGCACAGTTGTTGAAGACAGTGAGGAGGCTCCGTGGGCTGATAGGAAAATTCCACATGCTGTTGGGAAACAGGTCCTTCCACATTGCTGTGAGACTCACCACTACCGCTAGATCCCAGGGCCCAGAACAGTCCTGGCACATAATGGATGTCCAATAAATACATGAATGAATGAATGAATGAATGAATGAATGAATGAAGAATCTGCACACTCTAACACTTAGGGACGAGCCAAGAGAGGCTGCATTCCCTGGGCCATGCTAGTAGATGTTAGCAGAAAAACAAACATGCAGAACCACGCACACAGTATAAGGCTTTTGTGTAGGAATGGGGTGGAGAAATAAGAATGTCTATTTGTATATGTTTGTGTAAAGAAACATTAAAAGGATCCATAAGAAATCAGTACAAGTGGTCACCTGTCTGGGGCATGGGGTGGTCAGGAACAGGAAGGAGAGAAAGAATTCTCAATATACATCACTGTAACTTTTTAAGCCCCGTGAGAATATATTTCCTATTCAGAAATTTAAAATTTTTTAAATCAATGTACATGGCTCTGACAAGGAGTGAGGAAAGAAGCCAAATACAGAAGGATATATATAGAATGCTACAGTTTGTGTGGGAAAGGCATTTCCTTACGTGTGGAATATCTCTGGAAGGATTACAATCCCCCACTCAAGTGCTGGCAGTGATGGCCTCCAGGGGGAACGTGGGGCCAGGGGTTGGAGAGAGACTCACCTTTGACTGCTGATCCTTTTGGATGGTTGGTTGGTTTTTGTTTTTGTTTTTTACCATATGCGTGCTTTGAGATTTTCAAATCAAAAGAAAAAGAGATGAAAAGCAAGTGGGTGAAAGCCCATGGCTGTTATAATAACACAGCAGCTCCCCCGACAGCGTTCCGAGGGTGTTGGCTGCATTAAGTCACCTAGCACGCTCTCTGTGGGTACCATCACCAGCTCCACTTTATGGCTGAGGAAGCTGAGCTGCAGAGCAGTGAGGTGGCCTGCCCAGCATCACACAGGGTGAGCACACCCCCAGCAAGTCCCCATGGCCAGCAGCTGGAAAACACCGTTGCAGCCCAACACTGTTCAAAGCAGGGATTTCCTCTATGAAACCCTCTCGACTGGTTGCCCAGCCTATGCTCAAATTCCTCCCAGAATAGGAAGCTCACCTCCTTACAGGGAGGGCATTCCATGGTCAGATGTTTGGGTCAAAAGCCCCTCCTCACACTCAGTGGCAACGGGCCTGCCTGCCCCGGCTCTGTCCTGGGAGCCCATCTAATTGCTCCACCAGGGAAAGCCATGTGGGCACGTGGCTGGGGCACCTGGGGCTATTCTTCATTCTGAGCAGTCCTGGCTACTGCAGTTGCCCCTGCTGAGCGATTCAGGTCCCTTCCTCTCTGAGTCAATATGGATCCACAGGTCCCCTTTTGTTAGACTGTTGTGAACTTCACAGGGGCGGTGCTAGCACACACGGAGGCCCCGCTGATCTCCCCTAACTCTTCTCCATTTTAATCTTTGGTCTTATGCACATCAGCCCAGCCTGGACATACCCCAGGGCCTTTGCCCTTGCTGTCCCCTCTGCCTGGAAAGCTCTTATTATGCCTGCATCTCCCCAGGCTTCAGCTTCTTAGCAGGAATGTAACCTCCATAGAGAGGCCTTCACCCACTACTCTTGCTAACATGTCTCCCCGCCATTCCCTTTCTCATTCCCATTTCAATCTGGAATCGTCTTGCTTCTTTGTTTCTTTGTTTGTCATCTGTTTCCCTTAGTAGAATATAAACTCCAGAGGACAAGGGCTCTATTCCATTCACCGCTATCGCTAGATCCCAGTGCCCAGAACAGTCCTGGCACATAATGGGTATCCCATAAATACGTGAATGAATGAATGAATGAATGAATGAATGAATGAAGAATCTGCACACTGTAGCACATAGCAGTGAGCCAGGAGAGGCTGCATTCCCTGGGCCATAGATCTACGAGTCCATCTCAGAGCAGCCCCCACACAGCCACTGTTACAAGCCCTGCACTTTAGCCCTCTCCTCTCCCATCCACCATCCAGGGCAGAGGTGAAGCCAGGAGGCCATCTTCCCAGAGAAATATCAGAGCTCTAAATTCAATTTAAAACAGTTTAATTGCCTAATTGCTCAGCTCTTCGGTGCAGTTTGTTAACAGAAGTGATTCTGCAGCAGCCAGACCAGCCTAGCAGAAAATTGGCATTTCAGCCAGAGGGAATTAAAGAGGCAGAGCACAGAACTGCCACTGCTCCCAGCTGCCCCCATACCCCCTACTCCACCACCCCCAGCCATGTGTGAGGCCTGACTCCCTGAAGGACTTGCTTGAATCTCTGTTGACATGCCCATAGGTATGAGGGTGCAGGGTGTTGTTTGTGTTTGGGGATGAGCAGCTGTTCTGCCAGCATGTTTGGACGTCTCAGCCATGTGCTTACCTAAGCATGTCTGTGCTTTCCTTTTCTTCATTTTTAATTTAGGCTTTCAAAGGAAAAACACATGCAAATAATGCAAAAAAAAATTTTCATTCAAGATTTAAACAGGTTTACATCTACAATGAGCCCCTCTTCCCCCAGCGCTGATTCCAGACCACCAGTTCCCTTCCCCAGGGACAAACACCGCTATCGGTTTCCTATGGGTCCTTCCAGAGACAGTTTATGTTTACATGTGCATAAAATTGTTTCTATGCAAATGATTACATACTATAAACATTATGCTGCTGTTGGTGGTGGTGGTGGTTTTGACAATACATCTCGGAGACTCTTACTAACCAGAGCTTATCTAGACATTCCTCAATCTTTGGAACAGTTGCATAGCAATTCCATTGAAAGACTGTACTTTGATTTCTTAATCAATCCCCTATTGCTAGACATATAAGTTACTTCCAACCTCATGCTTTTATAACCCACATAGCAATCTCAATCTTTATCCATACTTCAAGTTTGTATATATGGAGGTATATGTGTATAGAATTCCTATTCCTTTCAAAATCAATCCCTTCCCTTCCTTTCCCTTCCCTTTTTTTCCTACCCAGAAAGCAATTTTTTTTTTTTTTTTTTGAGATAGAGTCTCACTCTGTGGTCCAGGCTGGAGTTCAGGAGTGCAATGGTGCAATCTTGGCTCACTGCAACCTCCACCTCCCAGGTTCAAGTGATTCTCTTGCCTCAGCCTCCTGAGTAGCTGGGACTACGAGTGCACACCACCATGCCCAGCTAATTTTTTGTATTTTTAGTAGAGACGGGGTTTCGCCATGTTGGCCAGGCTGGTCTCAAACTCCCCTCAAGTGATCCGCCAGCCTCAGCCTCCCAAAGTGCTGAGATTACAGGCATGAGCCACTGTGCCTGGCCCCAGAAAGCAATTCTTGATTCCCTTACAGGAAAAGAAAGAATGCCACAATCCCACCGACTCAAAAGCAACTAGAAGCCAGGCACAGTGGCTCACTCCAATAATCCCAACACTTTGGGAGGTCGAGGTGGGAGGACTGCTTGAGGCCAGGAGTTCAAGGACAGCTTGGACAACATAGTAAGACCCCATCTCTACAAAATATTTAAAAAATTAGCCAGGCATGGTGGCACACACTTGTAGTCCCAGTTACTCCAGAGGCTGAGGTGGGAAGATTGCTTGGGCCTGGGAGGTCGAGGCTGCAGTGAGCTATGATCACACTGCTACACTCCAGCCTGGGCAACAGAGCGAGACCTGTGTCTGAAAAAAAAAAAAGAAAAAAGCAACCAGAAACAACCATGATTACCCCCGCAACCGAGCAAATTTTTCAGCCCCTCTTCCAAGCTGCTTCTGACTTCTATCTTACCCAAATGGGCTCATACCATTCAGATTATTTTTCAAGCTGCTTTTTGTTGCACTCAACAATAAATGACACTCATCTTCTGTGTAAACAGCTCCGTACTTCCTCTTGAGGGCTGAATAGCATGCCACTGTGCCCTCCAACGACAGCGGACTTCAGCACCCCTTATTAGAATCTAGATTGTTGCCAGCTTTTTATTATTACAAACAGCACTGCAGGGATATTCCTTGCATCTGAGTCTTGGTACACATCCTTAGTTCTCTCCTAAGAATAGCTTCCCAGAAACGGAATTTTTAGGTCAAAGGGCGTGTACTTTTTTTGCAGCACAAGTTTAAACCATTTGAAGTGTGTGTGTGTGTGTGTGTGTGTGTGTGTGTGTGTGTGCTCTTCTGTCTTGTGTCTGTGGGCCTGAGCCTGTGGTTCCTGCAGGTCCCAGTGCAAATCTGTCATGTGTTTTTGCATAAAGGGAATGCATGTGTGCTTTCTCTTCAACCTTAGTCTCTAAAACTACTCAGCTCTGCCCCTCCTCTGCATAGTAGCCAGGGACATCCGGGAGTGTTTCTGAGCCTGCATGGTCTTTCTTCCTCTGGGCACAACCATGGGAGAGGTTGCAGGCCTCACTCTGGTCCCTGAACCAAGCCAACTCTCCTCTGCCCTGGAACCTCCTGTAGCCAGAGTCAGAAACCCGTCCTAAATTGGCTTCACAGCACAGGAGGATTTTGAGTCATTGTGAAGTGCAGGACTCTGGGGCTAGGTGGATCCAGGTGTTGAAAGAAGTCCGTTCAGAATTGATATCTGTCTCCTGGTTCTGGTCCCCAGATTGTGCCAGCTGACATCACATGTCCTTCCTGTGGCCATGGGACTGTGGTGCTTGCCAGCTAGCCTGTGTCGCAGGCCACCCACCTGTCCCCACCCTACCCAGATCTCCAGCTCCTCTCTGGAGCCACACCCTGCTCCCTGTGCCCCTGCCCCATCTGCTCATCTGCAGCCCACAGTTAAGAGGTCAGCAGACAGTGATGCTCATGTTTGCTTCATGCCTAGGATAACTGCAGTCTCAGAGAAGACCCCCAGAAACCCAAAATGCTTCCAGCCACAGAGGAGGAGAGCAGCTGGCAGCCAGAAGCATCCATTCCAAGTGAGAGACATCGAAGGGAACAAGGCTTAACCGCCTTGTCTTTGAACAGCACTAAATGATTCAGCAAAAGGGATGAGAGGAAACCTTTGGCCATGTCACGGGTTCACAGCCATCTGTATATGTTCCTATAGTCCTGCTTTGTACCTCCAGCCTAAATGATGGGGAGGTCGTTTGAAGATGAGACTGACCCTTCACTACATGTGCTGCTTCCAACCCCAGATTCCATCAGGCTGCACTTCTGAGATTCAGTGAACTCCCACTCATCCTTCAAAACCCTATCTCAATGTCGCTGCCATAGCAAAGCCTTCCCTGGCCCCCTCGGGTAGGGAGGGTCTCTCTGCCCACTGGCAGGCCAAGAAGGCCAAGCTCTGCCCTCTGAGAATCCATCAGTGTCCCAAGCTGACTTTCCCTAGCCTCGTATCCCTTCATTCCATGAAAGGGGAACTTAGGGTGGAGTGGAAATTTTGATCATCTAAAGGAACAATAATTGCTTTCATTCATTCATTTAAACAATATGTATTGAGCACCTACCAAGGACCAGGCCTTGTGCTAAGTGCCCCCACAGAGGTCACAATAGTCATATACTACAAACAAATACAGCATCACAAAGGTTGGCGCATGAAGAGACAGCAGCTAAGGGCATGGTCCTGGAGCCAGAATGCCTGGATTTGAATCACAGCTCTACTACTTCCCAGCAGCTTGTTGAGCTTAGCCAAGTCTCTAAGCCCCTCTGAGCCTCAGCTTTATCACCTGTAAAATAGGGATAAAAGCAGCATCTGCCCTATTCATCTGTTCACAGGAATACATGGCCTATGGAGGGAAAGTACCCAGGCTCCTGAGTGGGCCCTCCTGGCCCACGGCAGAAGCCGTGTGCATGTCTGTTCAACAGATACCTTTGGTGGCCTGTATGTACCAGGCGCTTCTATTCTCTGCTGGTCAAGGAAGGCTCACGGTGGAATAGGATTTAGCCCCGGGAGAGACAGCAGGGGCATTCTAAAGACATCGACTAGCTGGCATCCTGTGCCAGGCATCCCAACCTTTTGCGCATCGCGGCTCACCTGGAAAAGACGTGGGGGTGAGGAAGGAGGTGCCACCTGCATGAGGCATGGCAGAAAAGCATGACATCACCTTTATAGTGCAAAGCTTGACAGGAAGAATAAGATACAAAGTACTTAAAGAAGATAATCGATATTGGATGTGTATTAAATTTCCAAGGAAAATATTTTTAAATATGTAAATTAATCTTGAGTTGGCTTCTACAAGCATAACTTTTTTTTTTCTTTTTTTTTATTTTGATACAGAGTCTCGTTCTATCACCCAGGCTGGAGTGCAGTGGTGTGATCTCGGCTTACTGCAACCTCCGCCTCCCGGGTTCAAGTGATTCTCGTGCCTCAGCCTTTTGAATAACTGGGATTAAAGGCGCACAACACCATGCCTGGATAACCTTTGTATTTTTAGTAGAGGCGGAGTTTCACCATATTGGCCAGGCTGGTCTCAAACTTCCAACCTAACCGGGACCCACCCTGATCTGCCTGCCTTGGCCTCCCAAAGTGCTGGGATTACAGGTGTGAGCCACCGCAACCAGCCTTACAAGCATAAATTTTTTTATACCAATGTACCAGGTTTCATGCTTGAGCTGACTAAGCACAGTCCGGGATCAGGAATGTTTTTCAGGGGTCAGTCCTTTGGGTTCCTGACAGTCACCACTGATGAGAAGCGGCCGGGCAGGCAGTAGTGGATGAGGACCACCTGTGGCACTACAGAGAGCCCTCTGGTGGCAGGTGGGATGTCGACTGGGCACAGCTGCTGTGACTGAATCTGAAAGGTGACAGTGGTGCCAAAGTTACCTTCCAATAAAATTTCAACTGTTGCACGTTTTTGAATGGTTGTGAAAAAATGATTTTGTAACTATAAAAATGTATAACTACAAAGAATCTGTAAGCTTCAATGGCTGGCAGGTTAGGGTTGGAAACCTGGGAGTTTGAGGGCTCCAGGGCCTGGGGTGCTGGGGCGTAGATGGGGAGGGAGGGGAGGAGCACATGGGGGCCATGCCAGAGGGGAGCCGAGGGAGGGGGCTGAGCCACCGAATAGATCTGTGTGTTTCAAAGGTCTCTGTGACTGAGTGTGCAAATGGAATAGGATGGGGCAGAATAGAAATGACAGTGTTGGCCTAGAGGAGAGGGAATGGCAGCGTGGACCAGGCTGGTGGAGGTGGGAAGGAACAGGTAGATCGAAGCTACATTTTGGAAGTAAAATGCACAGGACTTGGTGACAGAATGGATATGGGGATGAGAGAGTAGGGGGTGTCAGGAGAATTTCCAAGGCCTGGCTCCTGGAACTGGGCAGGCAGGCATCCCCTTTGGAGTGGTAGCAGAGCCGCTTTCCTTACCCAGAAGCCGGCTGGAGTGGGGGTGAGGGGTGTCACAGGTCAACGCACCTCCCAGTTTTCTGGGGACAGTCCTGGTTTATACCTATCATCCCTGAATATGTACCTATTGCCCCTTCCACTCTCAAAAATGTCCCTGTTTTCCTCTGAATGATAAATAAAAATAAATGTAAATAAATTTTAAAATAAATGAATGCATGGGGAGAAGAGAATGCTCTTCCTAACAGTGGAAGCTAACTGGTAAATGTGGAAGGGGTGGAGTATGTGATCTGAAAGTCATTATTTGGCCGCCACTTGGGGAACAATTGTTTCAGGCAAGAATCAAAGGATACTAAAACTGGCAAGTAAGGGCCAGGCACAGTGGCTCATGCCTGTAATCCAAGCACTTTGAGAGGCCAAGGCGGGTGGATCACTTGAGGTCAGGAGTTCGAGACCAGCCTGGCCAACATGGTGAAACCCCATCTCTACTACAGTAGAAAAATTAGCCAGGCATGGTGGCACATGCCTGTAATTCCAGTTATTCGGGAGGCTGAGACAAGAGAATTGCTTGAACCCAGGAGGCGGAGGTTGCAGTGATGAGCTGAGATCGTGTCACTGTACTCTAGCCTGGACGACAGAGCAAGACTCCATCTCAATTTAAAAAAAAAAAAACTGGCAAATGGAAGGTGGAGGGAGAAGAGAGGATGCACCTGGGCTCAAAGCACTGCCTCCCCACAGAGGCATGTTACTCGCAAAGGGGAAGAGCACATTTCCCACATTTACAGGGAAGAAGGCTCCTTCCATAATCAAGTGATAAGACGAACTGCCACTGTGGACCCCAATGGGGTGCAGTGAGGAGAACGCAACATCCCTTCTGTGCCATCCCTCTGAAAACACAAAACCTGATCTAATCATTAGGAAGCAGCAGACAAACCCAAATTGAGGGGCATTCTATTTTTTTAAAAATGCTGGAGGAGGCCGGGCGTGGTGACTCATGCCTGTAATCCCAGCACTTTGGGAGGCCGAGGCTGGTGGATCACGAGGTCAGAAGATCGAGACCATCCTGGCCAACTTGGTGAAACCCAGTCTCTACCAAAAATACAAAAATTAGCTGGGCGTGGTGGCGAGTGCCTATAATCCCAGCTACTCGAGAGGCTGAGGCAGGAGAATCGCTTGAACCAGGGAGTCAGAGGTTGCAGTGAACCGAGATTGTACCACTGCACTCCAGCCTGGGCAACAGAGGAAGACTCCATCTCAAAAAAACAAAAAATGCTGGAGGATAACATTCAAAGGCATCCAATTGATGAATGTCAAGGAAAGACTGAACAATGTTCCTAACTAAAGGAGATTCAGGAGATGGGATAACTCAGGGCACCGTGTGGTCCTGAACTGGATCCTTTTGTTCGAAGGATATTCTACAATTGGCAAAACCTCAGTGGGGTCTGGGGATCAGATGCTGGTGTCCTCTCAGTGCTACTTTCCTGATTTGGATGGCTGTGTTGCAGAGAATGGTCTGTTAGAGGGAAAAACACACTAAAGGCTTCAGGGTGTTGGGCATCATGTCAGCAACTCTCAGATGGTCCAGGAGATAAAAGTTTTTTGTAGGCCAGGCGCAGTGGCTCACCCCTGTAATCCCAGCACTTTGGGAGGCCAGGGTGGGTGGATCACCTGAGGTCAGGAGTTCAAGACGAGCCTGACAAATATGGTGAAACTCCGTCTCCACTAAAAAAATACAAAAATTAGCCAGGCATGGTGGCAGGTGCCTGTAATCCCAGCTACTACTTGGGAGGCTGAGACAGGAGCATTGCTTAAACCCAGGAGGTGGAGGTTGCAGTGAGCCGAGATCATGCTGCTGCACTCCAGCCTGGGCAACAGGGCAAGACTCTGTCTCAAAAAAAAAAAAGTTATTTGTAATATCTTTGTGCCTTTTCTGTACATCTGAAATTATTTTTAAAATATATCTTAAATGTTACCCCAAAAAGGTGTGCTGGTGATTTGAACAATAAATTATATGGCCATCCAAACCACAAATACTACAACACAGCCATCACACCCCTTTGACCAGACTCTGCTGGGGACTGGAAGGGAATGGTCCCCAGAGTCCCTTTATATGATACTTGACATGGGAGATCAGGAAGAGAACACTCCCCTTTCCTACCCCAGGCCCCTTACCTATGCCCACCTGCCCCAGAGCTCTAGCACTTCCTGAGGATGCACTATACCCTCAGGCATTGCCAGCTGGAACATCTAATCAGGCCAGGCACGTTCAGGATGGAATGCTCTGACCAGCCAGCCCTGGTCAGAGCATTGGCCCTTCTAGCCATCAGTGTGGCCTATCTCAAGCTGCCCCGGGTTGGCATTCCTGGTCCTGGATCAGAATCTGTCTTCCCTGGGAGCCATCTCAGTGGCCTCAGCCCTGAGCCCCAGCCACACACCCCCAGCTATCGGGACTGTGCTGCTTGATTTCACTGTCAAACATCAGATATAGCCTCCCATCCTTCAGCATTCCCCACCCTACAGCACCCACCAATTCATTCATCCATCCATTCCTTTAACAAAATTGCTACTGAGCACTCAATAAGACCAGTCACTATCCTAGGCACTGGGGAGAGAGCAGTAAACAAAGCATACCAAAATCCCTGCCTTCATGGAACTTACACAATAAGGGAGATCAACAAGAAACTGTGTTAACAAACAAGTTAGCACAGTTAATTTGTGAACAGGAGTCTCAGGGGTAAAACAACAGCAGGACTCTATAGTTATCATTCCTGTGCACTTACTGTTTCCTCTGAACTTACAGTACCCTAGCACTTACTGTTCCACCATCACTTACTGTTCCCTGCACTTCCTGTGTCCCCAGACATCCTGTGCTTACACACCTCTGTTCCCCTGTACTTCCTGTTCCCTTGTACTTACTATTTCCTCTGCACTTCCTGTTGCCCCTACACTTCCTGTTACCTCTGCATTTACTGTTCTCCCGCACTTGCTATTCACCTTTTGATTACTGTCCCCTCACTTACTGCTCCCCTTGCACTTACTCTTCCCGTGCACTTACTGTGCCTCCTTGCACTTGCTATTTGCCCCTCATTTACCGTTCCCCTGCTGATACTGTTTCCTGCACTTACTATTAATCCTGCACTTCCTGTTCCCCTACACTTCCTGTCCCCCTGCACTTCCTAATCCCCCTACAATTACTGTTACCCCCAACTTACTCTTCCCCCATACTTACTGTTCACCTGCCCTTTCTGTGCCCCTACACTGCTGTTTCCCTGCTCTTCCTATTTCCCTGCATTTACTATTCCCCTGCTCTCCTTGTTCCCCTTGCCCTTCCTGTTCCCACTGTACTTCCTGTTTCTCTTACACTTATTATTCCCCTGCACTTACTGTTCCCCTGCACTTACTGTTCCATGGTGATATATGTTCCCTCTGTACTTACTATACTCTCGGCTGCCCACTTCTTTCCCCAGATACCCACAATGAAGCCCCCTCACTTTCTTCATATCTTAACTCCGAAGTCACTTTTTCCTAAGTCTTTCCTGCACAGTTTATTCACACTTTCTGCTTCTTCTCCCCACCCCAACAATTCCCCTTCCCCTTCTCTGCTTGTTTTTCTTTCTAGCACTCACTGCTGTATAAACCTCTGCAGATTCTATGTGTGTCTGCTGGATTATCTACCTCCCACAATAGAATATCAGCCCCTTCAGGGTGGGGATTTTTGTCTGGTTTCTTCACTGCTGTTTCCTCTGTGTGGATAGATGAACAACAAAAGGGGCTGCTTTCTAGTGTGGTTGTTCAGCTGTGTTGCTCTGGGAAGGTGATGCTGAGCAGAGAAGGAGGTAAAGAAAGAGAATCTGGCCGGGCGCTGTGGCTCGTGCCTGTAGTCCCAGCACTTTGGGAGGCCGAGGCAGGCGGGTCACAAGGTCAGGAGAGCGAGACCATCCTGGCTAACACGGTGAAACCCCGTCTCTACTAAAAATACAAAAAAATTAGCCGGGCGAGGTGGCGGGTGCCTGTAGTCCCAGCTAGCTACTCGGGAGGCTGAGGCAGGAGAATGGCGTGAACCTGGGAGGCAGAGCTTGCAGCGAGCCAAGATTGTGCCACTGCACTCCAGCCTAGGCGACAGAGTGAGACTCTGTCAAAAAAAAAAAGAAGAAGGAGAATCTGCAGAAGGAGTGAGAATTCAGGTTCTGTGATGTCACCTCACCGTTCCCAATGCAATGCTGATTTTCCCCTTAGGTGTGCCTGCTCTGTGGAGCCACCACTGTCTATTACAGTTTTAGGAACCCAGCTGCTCCCCAGGCTGGCTGCAGCAGGCTCTGGAGTGGCAGATCAGACCTAACATAGCCATCACACTCCGCGCTGTCTCACAGCCAGGTGGAGCAGCCCCATATTCCCCACCCCCTGCTGCCTGTTCCATGGACTCACTGCCAGCTTGGGCCTTTCCATAGAACAAGTCAGCCAGTGACCACTTTGGACCCTCTTTCTTCACATAATATGCTCTATCGCCAAGTCTTCCCCATCCTGCAAGTCTTCCCCATCTTGGACAGATTGCTGACTTATTCTGGAAGAGAACTTCATCTGGGTCCCTGCCCTCTCAGCTGGCAGTGAGCAGAATCATTCCTAGCAGCCGAGGCCTGTGAATGTGATTCTAGCATGAGGACACACATAGATGTTGGAGAAATAAGCCAAGTTCTCGTCTCTTTGGAGAACCCACAGTTGTCAAGAGCCTTCTGAGCAACAGCTATTTTATAGATCGGCTAATACCCGACAGGAAGAGATATTATCGTCCCTATGTTACAGAAGAGGAAACTGAGACCCAGAGGGTAAAATTACTCACCCAAGGTCACTCTTAGAAGTAGGGTCTAACTTGCAACCCAAGCATCCGACTTATTTCCCTCACACGGCTGCCTCCCTCTGCATAGTGCTGACCTTCCCAGCCGGTCTGTTCAGATCTGGCAGTGTCCCTCTGGCCTGAAAATCACAGTTTCCCAAAATGGGATGGAATCAGAGAGGTTGGATCAATGACGCACTGTTAGCAACCCCCATGGGCCAAATGGGGCCAGTTGGAATGGCTCTGAGATAGGCCCAGAATGTGAGGAGTGCATCCCAGCAAGATGGTTCCCAGAGCTCGAGTTGCCCCCTGAGGATCCATGCAGCAGGGGCAGTCGACAGAACAAGGGCCTGTTTCCACCGGCTGAATTTGAAATCACTTTGTCTCAGCATCCCAAGAAGTAAACCCGGCAAGGAGGAACAGCAGCCCTGAAGCAACTCGCCCGTGGACTGCCCGTCGTGCTCCCCAGCTCTGTAGGTCTAAATGGTGGGTCTGTCCCTTGGCAACCCTAAAACTTTTTGGTCTCAGGACCCCTTTACACTCTTAAAAATTGAGGCCCTCAAAGAGCTTTTGTCAGGGAGAGTTTTGTCGATCAACGTTTACCATACTCATTAGAATGGAGAGCTTCGAAAGCACAAGAAGCCATGAGCATGCATCTCACTGGCTGTCAGAGCTGTGATGTCATCACATGCATGCCTGGAAAATTCCACCATGCACTGTGACAGAATGAGTGAGAAAGGCAGATCATAGCTTATTGTGAAAATCGTTTTGACCTCATAAACCCCATCAAAGAGTTTCAGAAATCCGTAGCAGCCAGGACCCAAGTTTGAGAACTCCTGGTCTATGTCACGTCCTTGTTTCAAAAGCTCCAGGGATTGCTGTGACCACTTGGAAGAAAACTTTGGCAGCATCGAATGAAGTTGAAGATGTGTATGCACATGACCCCAGAAAATTTATTCCTCAAGATACACCCTAGGGAGGGCTTCAGAAAGTCAGACACCAGATGATGCATGGGGATGTTGTTTGCTGTCACAGCTTGCAAACAACCTGAATTGTCAGGAGAACTGACAAATAAATGATGCTGTATTTGTATAATGGAATACTATGCAGTAGTTGCAAGTATCAACATAGATGAGTCACCAAAACAAAATGAAATGAAACATCAAGTTATGGAAGAAAGTGATCAGTATGAACTTATTTGATTAATTTAAATGCACACAAGACAATGCCACATACTGTCACAGATACATACTGCATGGATAAACACAAAATTTGAGAGAGTGGGAGAGTAGTTGCCTACTGTAGGGGTCAGAGGAGGGAAATAAGAAGTAAGGATTACACATGATCGGAGTGAATTGTATCCATGATGTCTTAATTTATGAGGTAACATTTGAAAGACCTATCTGAATGACTATGGGAAACTATGACTGGCTGCTGGTGGTACAACACCACTACCACCAGCACCACCAGCACCACCATCATCACCACCACCATCCTACCAGCACCACCACCACCATCCTACCAGCACCACCACCACCATCCTACCAGCACCACCACCACCAGCACCACCACCAGCACCACCATCACCACCACCAGCACCACCATCACCACCACCAGCACCACCATCACCACCACCAGCACCACCATCAACACCACCAGCACCACCACCAGCACCTCCATCAACACCACCATCATCATCAATATCACCACCACCATCATCACTACCACTACCACCAATACCACCAACAACAACATTACTACCAATACCACCACCACCACCACCATCACCACCACCATCACTACCACTACCACCACCACCAAAACCACCAGCACCAGCACCACCACCATCCCCACCACCATCACTACCACTACCACCACCACCAAACCCACCAGCAGCACCACCAGCAGCACCATCATCACCACCACCACTGGCACCACCATCAGCACCACCATCACCACCAGCATGACCATCATCAGCACCAGCACCAGTTCATTAACTGATTCTTTGTATATCTTAGTACATGTAGCAGAGACTGCCAATTGCCTATCTAATATCTGTTTTCTTTCTCTGTTACTGATTTATGGGAGACAGCATGTGCCCAACCCCCTCAAAAAAGGAAACCTTACTTTTTCCAACCTCCCTTGCAAGCAGGGGTGACTTGATCAGCAATTTTTGGGCAACGAGGGGAAAGTGAGAGTTATTAAGTACAGCTGATGTGCTAGCTCCTCACATGGAAGGGCTTCTGGCCCAGAGCCCCAGGGACCTAGACAGAACTGGACAGCAGGAGCCACAGCTGCCATCCCAGGACTATGAGGCCACCTTTGGGATAGGAGCCAGGGCTGAGGCCAACAGAGCACAAAGCCAGAGGGAGCCTGGGGCATGGACTGGTTAGCCTGCCCCCTCCTCACCTCAAGCTCCATCCCCTCTTTATTTAAGGTCCTCTGGTCCGGCTATGTGTGTCCACAGCAGCGCACCCTCATACCCCCCTCACTGGCTGAGTTGAACAATTGCACCTCCCCAGGCACATTCAGGGGGCATGCCGCTCACCGATGGTGCAAATGGCATGTGCCCCAATTCTCCTACTGACTCATCCTAGCCTGCTCTTCACCTTTCTGTAGTCTGAATTGTAAGCTTGTTGAGCCTGCTTTTTTTTCTCCTTTTGGTGCCAAATAATGAAATTTCAACAGTTGGCCTTGAGAACTCTAAGCCTTTCTTACCGCCAGTGAAAGAAATCTCAGCAAGACAAGAAGGAAGAAATGTTCCCCCTTCCCTAAAGCTGCAAAAACACAGGAGCTCTTTGGAATCATAAGGCTGCCTCTGATAACGTGGGGAATTGAAAATGTTATATACACATATATATATTCTCTCTCTCTCTCTCTCTCTCTCTCTCTCTCTCTTTCTCTCTCTCTCTCCAGTGTGGAGACTGATGAGAAAATGTAAAATCCCATTCTATTTTCTGTTAGTATAAAAGTGTCTGCAGAAAGGTTATTTGGACAAAGAAGTCTTTAAGGTGCCTGGACTTTGGGCTTTGCCAGCACGACCTGCGATGCTCTCCGGGCTGCAAGACCCACAAGGAGGTGTCTTGTATGATCATTTCTTGCTCTGCTAAGAATATTTAATTTTACATCTGTCACTTTCTGAAATTTTTTGGTCAAACTATAAGAGGATCATTGCCATCTGCATGAAGGAAAAAATTAGTAAAAGCTAAGACGCTATTTCATTCCTTATTTGAACCACGGTTCTAAGAGTCCCGTCTTATTTCAATCCACACTGATCTAGCAGTCTTGTGCTCATGGCTTCCCCAGACTAGAATGCCCTCCCTTTCTGCTCCTCCCTTCATTTCCCTGACATCTGCTCACCCTTCAAACTTGCCGGTTGGAAGGCCCTTGCCCCTAGCTTGGAGCTGGATCTCCTCCCCATGCCCGCAGCCCCTGGGTATCCCTCTGCCTGGCTCACCCCTCACCCACATAAGACAGGGCTCCTCTAGTTACAAGTGACAAGACTCAACTTAAGCTGGCTTGAGCCACAAAGGAGCTGTGTTGGCTGCAATGCCTGGAAACGCCTGCCATGCCCTGCTCAGGCTCGGATGGATCCAGGTGCTGGGCGGAGAGCTTGCTCCTGAGCCCTGCCCCTCTCCAAAGCTCTGCCATGGCCCTGATGGCCTCATCCTCAGAGACTCTCACAAGGGAGCTAGAGCAGCTCCAGAACCACATTCCACCGGCTCGGCAAACCCTGCAGTAAGCCACTTCTTTTTCTCAAGAATTCCAGAAGCAGCTCAGTGATTCCGATTGGCTCAGCCTGAGTCACATGCACGTTCCTCATTGGCTAGGCCTGAGCATGTTCCTACCAAGGAGCCCAAGCAAGGGCCAGTACCCAGAAGGGAAGTTGGGGGCATCTTAGAAGTCTGGGCAGGCAGGCCAGGTATGATGGCTCACGCCTGTGATCCTAACACTTTGGGAGGCTGAATCGAGAGGACCATTTGAGCTCAGGAGTTCAAGACCAGCCTGGGCAACATAGGGAGACCCCATCTCTATTTTATTTAAAAAAAATTATTTTAAGAAGACTGGGCAGGCAAAAAAGACTGGACTCCATGGCAACACAAGGTTGTAATTTGTTTTATTGTCTGTCTTCTATATCTAGATCACTATAGAGCATGGCACAGGCATACTAGGTAGGTGCTCAGTAAACATGTGCAGAATGCTATGAGTGGGAAGGACAAGATGTAGCCTGGGAGAATCCTCCTGATGACAGGGCCCAGGATTGCAGGGATGTCTGAAACTCTGATATGTGCAGGAGCCAGGCAGGAGACATGATGGTCCATGCCAGGAGGACCAGTCAGAACTGGGGGAGAAATGTCCCAATCTGAGACTGTCACATCTTCTGATTTTTTTTTTAATGAGAAGCCTAATATTTGGACAATATATGAAATCTTGTAATATTTAAAATCTGACAACTAATATTTTAAACATTGTGCAAGCCCACAGGATACCTGCATTTATGAGGATGATGAGGGTCAGCATTTGGAATTGGGAAGAGTAGGAACCTTCTGGAAGGCCACCGTCACAAGGGCTGCATCAATGTCTAGAGGAGGGTGCTTGTCACCCACTCCAGTCTGTAGTCAAGGGTTTCAGAGCCAGCCCCTGAGGCAGCCCAGGTGCTCACAGTGGGGAGGCCAATGGTGTGAGGGGTGTGCCCCACAAGCCCATGGCCCAGCTCCAGCCCGGGCAAGCCCCAGCCCATGGGGAGGGCCAGCTCCTTGGAGTGGCTCTCACATTTTCAACCTCGAATTAGGCCCTGTCTTCCCCAGAATACCATTCGCCTCCAGCCAAGCAGAACTGATCTTGCATCCCAGAGCCTCCCGGAGCCGGCTTTAAACACTCTTCACAGCAGGTTTTTGGATCTTGATTTGAAGAATGCATTCAGCTGAGTCACCGTCCCCAAACAATATGAGAAATAAATCGTTGGGCACGCTCCTGATCCCAGAGCCAATTACACGGGCCACTCCCCACAAGCAGCCCCTATACCCTCCAGAGAAGGTCCTGCTGAGAAACAGAGCATGGACAGTTCCCCGGATGGAGATGCTGCACTGGGCCAGGCCCTGCACGGGATGGGGTGGGGGCTTCATGGAAGCCAAGGAGGCACAATCAGCCCCACATTATAGGTGGGGAAACTGAGGCACAGAATACAGGAAGCCTGCCAGCTCACTTGAGGAAGTGGCAGAGCTAGGAGTGGAAACGAGTTAGTTCTATGCTCCAGAGGTGTGCACTCCAGACCCCGCTCTGCTATAATCACCCCAGGCGCTCTCAGTCCCATCCCAGCAATCCTTTCGGCATTTTCTCTACATCCTCCAGACTGGTTTTGGAGTGGCTACAGGCTCCTCATTTTGATGCAATGGCCCAAGAAACAAGGCTCGGGGCCCTTCCAGTGCTGAGGGTGTTTCTGTCAGATGTGACAGTGCGGCGCAGTGGTCAGAGGCCTGGACTCAGCCCGATTGCCTGGAGTCAAAACCCACCCTACCGCCATGTATTTGGCCATGTGACCTCACTCCCTCAGGTTTCCCCGTCTGTAAAGTGGAGCTGTATAACCCATGGCGAGTGTTTAGAATGCTGCCAGAACATAGGGTTTAGAACTACTTTCATATCCCCCTAAATCATCAACCAAAAACATGTGCAGTGCCAGATGAGCCTGCCTTCCTCTCCGATGTGACATGTGAAAGCCAGCTCCTCTCATTCACACCTTTCACATCTGATGTTGTTAAGGGGGGCAGTTTGGTAAAATTGCTCTCCCTGAACCCCTCCACTGACCTGGGTCCTCCTGAGAGGGGTATTGCGTCCCGGGTAAAGTCAGGCTGCAGATTCAGGCAGACCTGGGCTTAACACCCAGCTCTGCGTCCCATGAGGTCTAGGATCTTGGGCAAATAACTGCACCTCTCTGAGCCTCGGTGTCCTCATCTGTAAAATGGGATAGGTAAACCTGTCTTGCAGGATAATTACCAGGACTTTAGCAGAATGACCTCTTGTGAATGACCCATGGGTGTGAACAGGATTGCCAGCTTTGAAGATGAGACTGTCCTCTGAGAGGCTGCAGAGTGGGAAGTCCTGAAGACCTCACGTTTGCTGTGCCCGGGACTGAGCCCAAGTCCCAAGGCAGAACTTGCGCACGCATCCCCAGGGACACGGGAAGCTTGGGACCAATATCCTTTTGGCCTCACTCAGTTGTTGCAGCCCTGGGGAGTGTGGGTCCAGTCTCCAGCCCAGCTCTGCTACAAAGCCATGGGGAGAAGCAAGTGGCCACTCACTCTAGGCCACTCACACTAGGTCTATTCACCAGGCTCAGTGCTGAGCAGGTGCCTCTAACCCCTTGCAGCTCTCAAAAGGCATTTCTGAGATCGAGGAGAGGCATACTCATGGCTTAGCAACTGCTTCTCCAGGCTGGCTTTGCCGCATCTTGATCACCTGCCTGGGGCAGAGGGTGGGCTCAGGCCTCCAGGGAGCCCATCTGCCAACGGGTTCGGTGCCATGGTGTCTGACATCCAGGCACCAGGTGCAGGCCACCTGAGCATCTCTGGGACAGCCCATGAGGCCGACCAGCTGCTCCAAGAGGTACCTACCCCATCGTCACTGGGAGAGGAGCAGGCTCACTCCTCCTGGGCTCGGGCACAGCCCTCTCTCCCAGGCCCGGCCCCTTGATCTGCAAGTGGCACAGCAGGAACAGTTGGTCAGGGAAGGGGACAGTGCTTCCTAGGCTGGCACTCCAGAAGGCAGCTCGGCGCTGGGTGCCCAGCACACACTTAGTACATGGCCTGTGCCATCACAGCACACTAGCTCCTCCCCAGATGCCTTCACCCCTCCACAGTCACCCGAAAGCACAGAGATGAGGCCACTGGAAGCTGAAGGGAGGTGGAAAGACTAGGGCATTCAGGTTATGACCCTGGCACAGGCATCCCTAAGGAAGCTATGAAGGGGAGGAGAAACTAACAGAATGATCCATGGAGTCTGAAAATGAGCCCATGTGACACAGGGGCTGAGGGGGTGACCCTTTGAGCCCAGGAGCTGTTACTTGTCCCTAGCCCAGGCCTTGCTCTCTCTACTTGGAAATCAAATTAATCACAGCTACTGTAGCAGGTGTCCACCTCAGCTAACCCTTGGAGAGGTTGAGACATGCCAGGATGTGCTGCAGTAACAAACAGCCTCCAGTCTTGGAGGCTTAAAGGGTAGGGTTCACTTCTTTTTCTGGTCACATGTTCAGTGCATGCTCAGCAGGGGGATTCTTCCCACTGAGCCCCCTCAGGGACCCAGGCTGGCAGAGGCTCTATCTTTACCACATGCTTCTGCCATCACCGTGGCTGGCTGGAGCAATGTACTGGCCATTAAATTCTCCCACCTGGAAGTGACTGATGCATGCCACCTCTACTCACATCTCAGTAGCCAGCGTTAGTCACACGGCCTCATCCCTCCTCTAATGGGGCAGGGCAGGGCGATGCCCCTCCAGCTGTCCCGAGGGAAACGGCAGAACCTGGGGCTGTCCTGGAGAAGACCCAGTCCCACATAGCGGGGGGAATCCCACCACAGCACACCAGGAATTTTCTAGAATGTTGCTGAGTTTCCACCATGGCCCCATTCTGCTGAGCAGGAGGAAGACTTAACCTCAGTTATGCTTAGGGCTTTTCTGCCTATTCCGTGGATCTGGTAAGGTCTCAGGCTCTTGCACAGTGTCAGGAGGTCAGAGGGAGAGAGGCTCTAATGCCATTTGTTATGGCTGAAGTCAGTCCCCCAACACTCATGCACTGAAGCCCCAGCCCCAGGCACCTCTGCAGGGGACTGCATTTGGAGATTTGGCCTTTACAGAGGTGACTAAGGTGAAAAGAGGCCATTCATTGGGAGTCCTAATCTAATCTGACTGGTGTCCATATAAAGAGAGGAAATTCGGACCCAGAGAGACAGCAGGGACCCCACACACAGAAGGAAGACCACTCAAGAAGGCAGAAAGGGGACGGCTGACTGCAAACCCAGGAGAGGGGCCTCAGAGGAAACCAACAGTGGACACCTTGATCTTGGAATTCCAGCCTCCAGAACTGTAAGAAAATAAACCCCTGTTGTTGAAGGCCCCCATCTATAGTACTTTGTTATGGCAGCCCTGGCAAACCCATACATCACTGGCCATGCGTTCACCCGTTATATCACCATGCTCCAGTGCTCTGGGTGGGTGGACCTGCAGGTCTCAGAGCTCTGCTGCTTCAGGGCCATGTGGCTGGCACTGAGCTTGGCAGCAACTGAGGACCCTGTGTCCAAGGTCTTCTTCCCTAAATTCTCAATGGTGACACCTCTAAGGTGGGTGCTTCACTGACCCACAAACATGAGGGTGCAGTTACTGAGGGAGGAAAAATGGATACCAGTGGCAACCAGTCACCTGCTACCCTGTACCACTAGTGAAGAAACTGAGGATCAAGGAGAAGCTGTGACCTGCCCAAGGTCCACAGTCCATGTGCAGCAGCAGTGGGAAGGTGAGATTAGACTTTGGCCACATACAGTGAACTCTGTCACCACGTTAAGACTCCAGAAACCTCGCATCCAGCCGCTCCTCTGCCTAATGCCTGTTCGCACCCAGACACCACACAGACGTGGTCTGAGCAGGGCTCTTCAGAAAGACTGAAAATGTGACTGGCATACCACGTCAGTGAGGATGTGCCGGTGGGAATGAAAGCTGGCATAGCCTCTTGGAATGGGTGTTTTGGTTCAGATTAGGTTCAACTGTAAGAGAAACATCAAAAGTGGTTTGAACAAGATAGCCACTCATTTCTCTCATACGTTCCAAAAGTCATCTGAAGGTAGGACGTCCGAGGTCGTTACAGATGCACTACAGTGTCCATGACACCGGCTCTCTCTATCCTGTCGCACTGCAATGAGAAACTTCCATTCCCCAGATTACCCTATGGTTCAAGATGGCTGCTATCACTCCAGCCATTATAAGCACATTCCAGTCAGCAGGAAAGAAGGGCCACCTCTTATCTCTAAGGAAGTTGCATGCATACTTACATCCATTGGCCAGAACCCACCTGCAAGGAAGGCTAGAAAATGCAGTCTTTATTCTAGACAGCTGTGTATCTAGCGAAAAATCAGGGATTCTCTTCCAATGGAGAAAAACAACATATATTGGAGGACAACTATTGATCTCTGCAGAAGACTAATAAGAGTAATTAAAACTAATTAAGACTGTGTGCTCCAGCAATTCTACTTGCATGAGTTACCAAAAGCAAATTTATAAGGATTGTTGATGTTGCCTTGTTTGTTGTTGCAAAATTTTTCAGAAACAAAAGGGAAGTGGTTTATAAATTGCCATATATCCATATATATGTAGCTGCAGGGGTGAAGCAGTCCTCCACTTGACATGGAATGATCTCCAAGATCCATTGGAGTGAGCTACAGGACATTAGCATTACAGAAAGAGGGATGATATACACATCCGTTGGTGTGAACACAGGATGGCTCTGGAAGGTTATGGAGACCCTGGGTGCTTCAGGAGGGGGACAGAGGAATTCAGTGCCACACAGGGAGATTTATCGTTCACCAAATACCCTCCTGTACTGCATGAACCTTTTTTTTTCTTGCCATGTACATATATGACCTATTTTTAAAAAACAAACTTAAAAATTATAAAAATGGTCTCTTTTCTTCTGTTGATGCCTCTCTGCTCATTCACTGCAGCCAGCAAACTTCGGCTGACACTGTGCCATCTTGGACTGCATGTGGATCTGATGGTCAAATCCCTGCTGGCCCCAACCCTTACCCCGCTCACTCAGAATGCCGTGAGCTTGCCTTCCCTGATTACCAGGCTTTTACATGAGCTGAGAGGCCCCGATAAAGTATGCCATTCAGGGGCACCCTGCAGTACCCCCTGCAGCCCAGGAGTCCAGCTCACTGGCCGTACTGTTGGCCCTGTCCGCTATCAACCCTCCAGGCCCTCCCAGGGAGCCTGACACATTGGCCCCACAGACATGAGCTGTGTTGGAGCTTGTGCCCTCGGCACCCCATTCCCCCCTAAAAAAAAAAGGCTGATCGCGGAGGCGGGCAACAGCCTGATCCTCAGGGTCCCCACAGCCAGGGCTGAGACCTCCCCAGGCTCTGAAGCATGCAGTTGGCTGTGTCCTGGATGGGCTCCTCCTCTCCAACTCTGGGGATTACATAACTGGCAGCAACTCCCTTTCACTCTGGCTGCCAAAAAGCTCAAAGCCGAACTCAGGTACAAGGGCAGTGGCAGGGACAAGTGGGCCCCTCTCCCCTACTCATGCCTTATGATCCCAGTGCTTTGCTCTGATTTACTCCCATTTTCAGCCAACCACACCCATCCTTATGACAAACATCAGTCCCCGAGTCCTGTCTGCTGGGGGCCTACTATGTGCCAAGCACTATTCTTGAGGCTAAAAATAAGAGCTATCCTTATCGTTCATTACTGTACGCCAGCCACTCGTGCTTAGTGTTTTCCAATCCTTACAAAAGGCCCTGCAGGATGGGTCTTCTCCGCATTTTACAGATGGCAATAGTAAGTCCATTCTGCGTTTTAATGGAGCTGAGCAGAGAGAACCGGCTGCCCAAGACAACAGTGTGTGTCTGACAAAGGGAGAGGGGCTGGCTCACAAAACATAGTTCTCCTCTCTCTCCATGTCTGTCCCCCCTACTCAGATGGGCCCAGGGGCAGGGGCAGCGGCAGCTGGGATCCTGTTTCTCTTCACCTCCCCAGCAGCCAGCCCAGGGCTTGGGCACTGGGGACTGCTCCTTGGTTGAGCAGAGGCCCCCTGAGCCTCCCAGCCCCTCACCCAGCCCTCAGGCTCCTGAAAGGAACCAGCCCCAGTATTCCTGCAAAACCTCCACATTAGCACCTTCTGCTCCTTTTCCTTTTTATTAAAAAATAGATCAAGAAAATATACACACTTCAGTCCATCCACCATGGTGGATGCTTTGAGGAGGCCAAAGCACCATGGGGATGGGATGGAGGCATTGGGAGAGCCAGCCCTGCCCTCGTGCCAAGGGTGCAGAGAAGGAGGGTGCCCTCAGCCAACCTTGCCAAGCATGGCCCTGGAAGGAAAGCCTGGGCCATGTCACTGAGCAGTATGAGAGCAGGTGGGAAGGGGAGGAGGGTCCCCAGTGAGAGCAGAGATGGCAAAGGGGATTGGGAGCCCCAGGGAGGTGGGGCCTCCAGACTCATGGTGGGAACAGGGCCACACAGGGCTACTGCCCACAGAACGTCCCTTGACCTGGTCCTCCTCCCCTGGGGACTCTGGGCCTGCTGGCCTCCTCTCTGGCCTGTCCTCCACAGGCCCTGGCAGCTGCCCTCAGGCATTGATGGCCTTCCAGCGCTCGCTGTCTGTGCTGTTGATGCTGCCAGTGTGGCAGGGCATGGAAGCGATGTCATCCAGGTAGGCCACCCCGCCGGCAGAGTCGAACTGCGTGCTCGAGTAGCTGGCAGCTGAGGCCCCAGCAGCCCCTGCAGCCTCCAGGCCCTCCCGCCGGGCCACAGCGTAGGGCTGGGGTAGGTGTACATCTGGCTCCTCTGTCTCGTCCACTTGGCATTTGTAGGAGAAGAGGATCTTGGGCTCCGAGCTGATAAAAGGAAAAGAGGGGCATGGAAGCCTCACTGAGTGATTCAGGAAGAGCCTTCCTCTCCAGGCTGATGGGGCCACCAGATAAGGAAGGAATTGACCAACAGTCGCCTGACACCCACTCTGAGTGGGCCTGTGAGCTGGACCCCAGAGCCCATCTAGACTTGTTTTGGAACCCAGCCCTCCTCCCCCTGGCTGTGTGAGCTCAGGCGGGGGGCATCTGTGCCTGCTTCCTCATGGTGAAATGGGTGTGTGGACACCGTGTGGAGGAAGAATGGACATAAATCATGAGGCTTCAACAGTGCCTGCCCAAGCACTCAGGAGACATTGGCTGTGGCCTCCGCCCCCACTCCTGTGACCCCTGCTGCTCATGTTACCACCCACTCCACTCTGACCTCGTCCCTCGGCCCTCAGGGCAACTCTCCAAGGGGGACACACTACACCCAATTTACAAAAAGGAGCCTGAGGCTCAGGGGAGAAATTGTGTGCAAAGATCCAAGCTGGGGCCATGGACCAGTCTGGCCCTCTCCCAGCTTCACCCAGGTGGGAGGCTGATCCCCTCCCCACAAGACCTGGCAGGTGAGAAAGGGGGGACAAAACACCCACATTCCGACCACATTAAGGTCTGGAGTGGGACCCCCAATCCCATGTCTTCAGCATCCCATCTCACAGACGCTTCTGCAGATGCACATGTGCACAGCAGTGTACTCACCCCCAGAGAATCCAACTGACTTCCCACCCCAAACCTGCTCCCCACTTAAGTCTTCCCCCAACAGGGTACAAGCTTTGTGAGGACAGGATTTGCATCCGCTGTGGGCCTCGCATCTTCTGGCTCTAGCAGTGTCTGGCACACAGTAGGTGCTCAATGAATGCTTGCGAATGAATGAGTTAATATATTATTAAATAAAAACCAGCAATGTAGAACACCGTGCATAGTCACTCTCTCTCTCGTGGGGAGAGTATGTCTGTGTGTACTGTACATACAATGTGCATATATATGTATGTATATGTGGATATGTGCATATATCTACATGTATGTATATGTTGAGCACGTGTTCATGTGTGTATGCATGCATGTGGGTGTGCACGTGCATGTTTGTGTGCATATGCCCGTGTGTATCCGTATGTGCGTGTTTGTGTGTGCATGTGCATGTGTGCATGCTTGTGCATCCGTGTGTGCATGTGCACGTGTCCATGCACATGTGGGTGGGTGTGCGTATATCTGTGTGCATGTGCATGTGTATCTGTATGTGTGTGCCCAAGTGCATGTATGTATGTGCGTGCGCATGCGCACTGTATGCATACACAGCCTCTCAGCTTCAATCCTCACACCCATGCTGGAAGAAGGCGCAGTTCCGCCGGCAGCCACGCGGGGGCGCCGGCGGCCACAGACTCACCCGAAGAAGCCCCGGAGGAAAGCCACGTAGATGAGCGGAGCGAAGAAGCTGAAGTACAGGAAGGTTGTGGCATCTACACAGCTGCGGAGAAGGCGGGTCAGCGCGGGGCCTCCTAGCCCCATGCTGACTCCACACCTCCCCATGCCCCCAGCGGGTGGACACCCTGCCGCCCACTTCCCATGCCCCCACGAGGCAGACACCCTGCGGCCCCCACGCACCAGAGCCCCTCGATGATGTCGAAGCACAGCAGCACACTCCCCAGCCCCTGCAGTAGGTTGAGCAGTGCCAGGATGCCCGCATACACGTAGAAGCTCCTCCGAGCTGGGGGCCGGACAGGGTGGGTCGTGAGGTCCCACCCTGGACAGGCCAGGCTCTGCCTCCAGCACCTACTACCCTCAAGCCTGGTGTGTCCCCCGGGGCCCCTCTAGGCCTCCCTCTCACCCAGGGCTCTCCAGCTCCCAGCCTGGAACTCTACAGCTCCAGCTCCCAGCTACCAGCTCTACAGTGGCCCGGTAGACTCCCTCCCATCCCCGCCTGTCCCAGAGCCGCCGGCCAGCTGCTCACAAGGCAGGGAGATGCGCTCCTTCAGCGGGGTCTTGGGAAGGATGACCACCAGAGAGTAGACCTACAGAGACAGGCAGGGCTGAGAAGGTGCTGGGGGCGCCAGCCCAGACCCACAGCCAGAAACCCAGGAATCCAATCCCTACCTGGCCCTAAGGCCCCAGCCACCCCAGCTGCCCCAGCCTGAACCTCACCA
Organism: Homo sapiens; assembly: GCF_000001405.40. Taxonomy (NCBI): domain Eukaryota; kingdom Metazoa; phylum Chordata; class Mammalia; order Primates; family Hominidae; genus Homo; species Homo sapiens. Next base: position 127,575,942 of record NC_000003.12, read on the forward strand.
GGAAGAAGAAGCAGGAGCTGACCAGCCAGAACTGGCGGCCCCCATGGCCATAGATATTAAAGTCCTCAGCTGAGAGATGGGCATCAGGGTACAGGATCTCCAGGGTCCCCTGCAGGGGCAAGCAGGAAGGGAGGAAGGGAGAGGATCTCAAGGCTTCTCTCTCCCAGGGGCTTTCCCTGATGCAAAGCCCCCTAAGCTCTCCACCACACCAAGTTCAGCCTCTTGGCCTGACCCTCAACTCACCTGCCCCAGTCTGCTCCCTGGCCATGTCCTGCCCAACTGATTGCAGCATCCAGAGCCGGCCCAGTCTTGGGCTGAGTCACATGGGGAAGGGGGCAGAGATGGACAAGGTGCAGTCCCTGCCCCCAATCTAAGAAAGGGGCCTCTAGATGCATGCTTCTCAGGGGGGTCTGCGGACCTGCACCATCCCTACCTGAACTCCTTATTAAAACGGCAAGTCCTGAGCCTCCCATCCTGGCGCCCTGGCCCACTGGATCCAAATCTCCAGGGGACCCCAGAATGTGCCTCGGTAACAAGCACCCCATGTGATTTCTCAGGTGCAAAGTTTTGAGAACTCTGAAGGTGATAAAGACTGGAAACCTGACCCAGACCCAGAAGCAGTGGGTGCCTGGTGCCCTGACTCCTAGCGTCCCCTGCCCACACTCACCCTCTTACCTGGGTGACAGAGTAGGCCAGGGACAGCACTGTGGTGATGGCCAGCACCCGCTTGATGCTGGACTTACTCTCCAGGTGGCCTGGAAGAAACATGCTGGTCAGCAGGCAGGAGCCAGCCCAGGTGACCACTCCAGAGTCAGCCCACAGCCAGGGAGGGGCAGGGGAGAGCATCGCCAGGGCCCAAGAGCCCAGCGGTACACACACCAAAGGCCAGGCCCAGGATGATCACACTCAGCTCGATGGCCAGCAGGAAGAAGCGGGTGATCTCCCACAGGATCTGCACGCAGAGTGGGCACAGCGTCAGCCTGGACCAGCATCCCCAGCCCACCCCAGGCCAGGCCTCCCTGGCCTCCCTCAGAGGGCCCAGCCGCACCTTATCAGCAACAGTTGCAGCGTTCGAGGTGCTCACCGTCATGGATACCACGGCCCGGGCAATGCCCACCAGCGCCACCACAAACACCTGGTGGGCAAGGGAGTGGTGTGGCAGTCAGGGAACAAGAGCCTCTGCATCGGCAGGGGCAGCAAGCCCACCCCCATATCTACAGGAGCCTTTGATTCCTGAGGTCGGAAAGGAGGAAGGCGCAAAGTCAGGGTGGGACACAGGGAGGTGGGGATCACTCCAGGAAGCAAGGCTCACAGAGTTGCAGACCCTCAACTGCAGGTGACTTCCAGCCTGGCCCTCCCTCTCGGGGCCCCAGCTTCCTGGCTAGCACCAACAGCCTTGGGCTGGTGAGCAGGAGTGCGCATGGTGGAGCCAGATGGGCCAGGTTCACATCACAAGCAGCACGCTGCTGCTTCCTGGCTCTGTACCTTAGCTTTCTCATCTATAAAATGGGGGCAGAAACAAAACCTACTGTGTTTGATTGTTGGGTCAAATGGATTAACAGATGCAGCAGAAGCCTGCCTGGCACCCAGGAAGGGCCAAGTATACATTTGCTGTTATTACCGTATTCATGGTTTTAATTCTGAGGCATGCGGGACCAGGCAAAAGGTCACCGAGAAGAGGTGCAGAGACCTCTAGGGAAGCCACCAGCCCAGCAGGTTTCACAAAGTGCCTGCTCAGCATCTGTGGTGCTTATCGGCCTGGTATATCCATCCCCTTCCTCTCCCTTCTCACCCCCACTTCGGTGGTTCCAGGTGAGGCTGAGTCCACCGCTCCTGGCTTCAGGGATGGGCCTGGGACGCAGCACTGGCCAGTGGTGTGTGCCATTCCCCTGGCCTCAGGGCTAGTTCAGGGAAGGGCATAGGCCCCAAGGGAGCCTTGTGAGAGAGACCCAGGATGTCAGGTGGGGCTGCTGGGAAAGGCAGACGGACAGCATGCAAGCCTGGCACCATGGACACCACCCTGCTGCCACAAGGGCAGATGGCGAGAGAGCAGGGCCATCGGGGAGATCCCAGGCTGAGTGGGAGATGGAGATGGTGCCCCAGCAGCACTGCTGTGCCCCCAAATCCTGCTGTGCCTGAGGCCCAGGAACTGCCCAGTTTCTCAGTCAAAAACTGGCTTCTGTGAGTCTCAGTTGGGTCTTCTGACACATGCCCAGATCCATATATACTCTGTCTTTTGTGCCATGAGAAATTGTGTCAGCAGGGCAGGCAGTAAAAGCAACAAACTACCACACGCCTACTGTATGCCAGGCTCCCACTGGGCTGCAGCTATGCAGACGACTTCATAGGTGCTCACATGAACACCATAGCTAAAGCAGATCAACATCTGTTATGCAGAAGGGCACTGGGGCACAGAGAGACCAAGCCACTGGCCCCAGGTCACACAGCAGCATGGCTGGGGTTCAGAGCTGGACTTCCTGAGTCCACTCTTAACACTGCCTCCTGAACTCTTTAGGACAAAGTCCCCAAAAGTTGATGGGCTGGGCCCTGTTATATGTTCCTGGACATTTAGCCCTGGCTCTTTCTCCCTGCCTGCACTCCCCCTTACCCCACAAAAGGACATCTGCCTAGCATACAGTAGGTGTTTAATATCTGTTGAATAAATACACAAATGAATAAATGGTGAGAGAAGCAGTGGGAGAGAAGCAAAGAAAGCAGGCCTCAGTTCCCAGTCCTGTCTACCACCATCTTGTAGGTGTGAGGGACATCAGGCCACTACAACCTCCAGGCTTCCCCAGCCCCTTGTCTGTCTCTCTGCCTGCCCACAGCCCACTCCTCTGACTGGGAAGTTCTGGGCTAGACCACAAGGAGGGGACCAGGGAGCCACTCAGCTCTCATGTGGTGGTATCTAAGGGCCACAGAGAAGGGAGGACTCCAGTCAGGCAGGCCCTGCAGACAGGGGAAGGGCGCCCTGAAGGAAGGCAGCTGGACAGCCCACACCCGAAGCCCACACCAGGACAGCCCGCACCGGAAGCCTACACCTGGAGAGCCCACACCCGAAGCCCACACCTGGACAGCCCACACCTGAAGCCCACACCTGGCACCTATACTGGGACAGCCCACACCTGGAGCCTATACCAGGAGAGCCCACATTTGGAGCTGCCTTCTCAACCACAGCCCTGACACCTCTCCCCAGGCAACACGTGCCAGGACCACCAAGTGGTGACAATGCAGGCTCTCCCAGCAAGTAAGATGTCTTCTCCAAAGAGGTTTCACAGAATGGACAGATGGGGGACGAATGGATGGAGGATGCAGTGGGCATTTTCCCCACCCAGCATCCATTCCCCTCCCCTCTAGTACCAGCTCCCCAATTCTGTTGTGGGCTCCCTCAGTCCATATGGTCCAGCTGAGCTGATGCTGCCCTCCCAGCTTCACAGTGCCCCTTTCCTTGCTAGCCACAGTGCTTGGCTCAGGGATGAGGATGGGATCCTAGGTGGGCCAGTCAGAGGAAATCCCAGGTCTACACTGGCACTATCAGCAAACAGGCACTGTTTGCCTGAGTTGTAGAGGCAGGATGTTAGCTCAAAGTTGCTCCTGGCCATCTTTGACACCATATGAGGGGAACTCATCTGAGATAAGTCCCAAAGAGATCAGAGATGCAGAAACAGATCCTAACGATATCATTTAACTGCCTGGATCCAGCCATACCTGAAGCTTATTTTCATTATAGAAGCAGTTAATTCCCTTTTTGTTTAACCCAGTTGGAGTTGGCTTTTCTGTCAACTGCAGTGAACTCACCAGGATGTAGAAGGTGATAAAAATGGGGCTGGAGGTGATGCGGATCTTCGCCCGAGCAGATGGAAGCTTCCAGAGCAGGAAGATGAGGAAGAGCACATTGGGGATGAGCAGCAAGAGGTCCCAGTACCGGACCCTGGCGGATGGGCACAGGAGCTGGCTCACTGGCGAGGCCACATATGCACCCCCTCTCCAAGACACAATCTGCCCCACCCTCACCACCCCCCTACACCAGGAAAAGCCACTGACACTCAGCGAGCCTGCCCAGCGTTGTGACTGCCTCACCTGGAGGTGCCAATGTCTTCGTAGAGCAGCAGCAGGCAGCGATGAGGCACACTGATGTTTGGTGCCAGGGGTGGGGGTAGCGCTGTGCTCCCATTGGCCCAAGTCACCTCCTCCAGGGTGTCCATCCCGCCAGCAGCCAGCCCTGGGGGAGTGAGAGCCGCCCAGTGAGCTGTGTGGCCTGGGCCACTGTCCTCCTTCCCCTGGACCTGGGACTCCCAGGGGAAAATCAGAGGGGCTGCACAGAGCACCCCTGTAAACCACCCTCCCCACCCACTGCAGCTCAGTGTGGGGCTCCACACAGGTCACGACCCAATCCCCCAGGCAGGGGCCCAGTCCCCCATCTCAGGCTCTATCTCACGACCTGCAAATAGTCTAACAAAGCCACCCCCTCAGCTAAGCATCTCCATGTGCAAGGCACAGCCACTTGGCTCCTTTCAGTCCTGAGGGCCCATGAGAGCAGCGTGGGTAAGAGCATAGGCTCTGGGTTCACAGCCCAGCCCTGCCCCTTCCTTCCTGTCCTCTCCGTGCCTGTGTCCCCCCACCATGGAATGGGTGTAACAAGTGAGGCTGTGGTGATGCCGAGTGCCTCAAACAAGGCACACACGTGAGGAGTTCTTGGTAGCGGTCAGCCATGGTTCTGACCTGCCACACCATGCAGAACTCAGAGGCCACTGACTTGTGTGAGGCCACAGCGCTGCTGAGGGCCAGAGCTGAGCACCATGCCCTCCTCGGTTGCACCCTCTGGCCCTTGTCTCCCTCTGCCACCACAGACAAAGATGGAGGGGACACTGAGCCATGCCTAGAAGATGCACAGGAGGTCTCCAACTGGAGATGGGCATGGGGGAAGAGGCTGTACCACAGAGGGGCAAGGCAAGTGTGTCTGCAATGGCCACGCTGCAGGGTGAAGCCAGGGACAGGGTGGGTCCATAGGCCAGAGGTCCACATGACACTCTGAGCATGAGAGGTCGAGTCTAGCCTGGAAGACAGGAGAGCTGGTGGTCTGGGGTCCTGGGAACCACTCTGGGGTTAGGGGACTGAGGGTCTGGTCGGAAAACCAAGACTCCTAAGCTAGAGGACTCTCAGGAGGCAGCAACAGGTACTTCCGCAGGGAGTTCGGGGTGATCCAGGTGTGGCCTGGGGCACCAGAACGTAACAGATGCCAACATTTAGAATGATTTGAACAGATTGGGCCAGATGCCTGTGACTCTGCTTCACCAGGAATGCTTGTAAAGGCTGTGGATGACAGCCCCAGGCGGGGAGCAGCCCCAGAGCATGGGCATAAATGGTGGCAGGTTCCTACGGTTGACACTTGCACAGCATAAAAAGAACAACCCACTGCTACAGGCAACACGAATGACTCTCAGAAGTGATATAGCGTGAAGCCAGGCACAAGGGCCGACAGGCGTATGATCCGTGGAGAAATGCAGACAGGGCGCCTTTGGGGAGATGAAGCGCATGGTAATTGGGGGAGGCCTGCCAGCGTCTGGGTGTCAGATCCAGGTGGTGGGTACACAGGTGTGTTCACTGTGTGGTAATTCATCAAGCCACACACCGATGACTCCTAAGTCATAGGTGTACTTCAGTAAATTTTAAAAAGTAAAAAAGATGTGGCCGGGCGCGGTGGCTCATGCCTGTAATCCTAGCACTTTGGGAGGCCGAGGCGGGCAGATTGCCTGAGCTCAGGAGTTCGGGACCAGCCTAGACAACATGGTGAAACCCCATCTCTACTAAAATACAAAAAAAAAAAAAAATTAGTTGGGCATGGTGGCATGTGCCTATAGTCCCAGCTACTCAGGAGGCTGAGGCAGAAGAATTGCATGAACCCAGGTGGCGGAGCTTGCAGTGAGCCGAGATGGTGCCACTGTGCTCCAGCCTGGGCGACAGAGCGAGACTCCATCTCAAAAAAAAAAAAAAAAGAAAAAGAAAAAAGATTTGTCCCGACAACACATCAAAGGCCCAGGCCTCCCCTTCAGCAAGGAGCCGCCCAGTGAGCTGCATGCCTGTCAGCAAGGTCTGCAGAAACGCAACAGGAGCCCTGCTTGTGTTGTCACCAAAGCTATCCCTGAACAATAGCAGCCCAAGACAGGGGTGGGGGGACTTAGGAATATTTCCATTGCTGGTCCAAGCCCTTAAACACCAGAACACCTCTGGATGAAAGGGAGGGAAGACTCTGAAGGGGGCGGGCCATGGGCTGGGGCTCAGGTTGCTCCAGTGGGCCACTCACTGGCTCTGGGATCAAGTCCCCATCTAAACAGTAAGGACAGCAGGGTGTAGTGACTCACACTTGCAATCCCAACACTTTGGGAGGCTGAGGAGGGAGGACTGCTTGAGCTCAGGAGTTCCAGACCAGCCTGGGCAACATAGCAAGACCTCATCTCTACAAAAAATACAAAAATTGGCCGGGTGCGGAGGCTCATGCCAGTAATCCCAGCACTTTGGGAGGCCAAGGCAGGCGAATCACTTGCGGTCAGGAGTTCAAGACAAGCCTGGCCAACATGCCAAAACCCCATCTCTACTAAAAAATACAAAAATTAGCCAGGCATGGTGGCGTCCAGCTGTAATGCCAGCTACTTGGAAGGCTGAGGCAGGAGAATGGCTTGAACCCGGGAGGTGGAGGTTGCAGTGAGCTGAGATCGTGCCACTGCACTCCAGCCTGGGCAACAGGGCAAGACTCTGTCTCAAAAAAAAAAAAAAAAAGGCTGGGCACGGTGGCTCACACCTGTAATCCCAGCACTTTGGGAGGCTGAGGTAGGTGGATCACCTGAGGTTGGGAGTTTGAGGCCAGACTGACCAACATGGAGAAACCCCGCCTCTACTAAAAAAAAAAAATACAAAATTAGGGCCAGGCACGGTGGCTCACGCCTGTAATCCCAGCACTTTGGGAGGCCAAGGCGGGTGGATCACCTGAGGTCAGGAGTTCGAGACCACCCTGACCAACATGGAAAAACCCTGTCTCTACTAAAAATACAAAAAAATTAGCCGGGCATGGTGGCACATGCCTGTAATCCCAGCTACCTGGGAGGCTGAGGCAGGAGAATCCCTTGAACCCGGGAGGCATAGGTTACGTTTAGCTGAGATCACACCATTGCTCTCCAGCTTGGGCAACACAGCAAGACTCCGTCTCAAAAAAAAAAAAAAAAAATTAGCCAGGCATGGTGGTGCATGCCTGTAATCCCAGCTACTCAGGAGGCTGAGGCAGGAGAATCACTTGAACCCAGGAGGCAGAGGTTGCGGTGAGCTGAGATCACACCATTGCTCTCCAGCCTGGGCAACAAGAGTGAAACTCCATCTCAGAAAAAAAAAAAAAGAAACAAACAAACACAAAACTTAGCCAGGTATAGTGGTGCATACCTGTAGTCCCAGCTAATAGGAAGGCTGAGGTGGGAGTATGGCTTGAGCCCAGGAGTTCGAGGCTGCAGTGAGCTATGATCGTGCCACTGCACTCCAGCCTGGGTGACAGAGTGGGACCTTGCCTCAAAAAAGAATAAATTAATTAATTAAAAATAATAAAATGAGGCCATAGCTGCAATCTTCAAGTGATGGGGAATATTAAAGAGAACAAATGCCTGACACATAGTAGATCCTAAGAAAGAAGATGGCTCCTTCCCTACTGTTGGGAGGGGGGCAAAGAAGCCCACCCTTCATTCACACATGCTTTTTTTTTTTTTGAGACATTGTCTTGCTCTGTCTCCAGGCTAGAGTGCAGTGGCGTGATCTCGGCTCATTTCAACCTCTGCCTCCCAGGTTCAAGCGATTCCCCTGCCTCAGCCTCCCGAGTAGCTGGGGCTACAGGCACGTGCCACCATACCCGGCTAATTTTTTGTATTTTAGTAGAGACGGGGTTTCATCACGTTGGCCAGGATGGTCTCGATCTCCTGACCTCGTGATCCGCCCACCTCGGCCTCCCAAAGTGCTGGGATTACAGGTGTGAGCCACCATGCCCAGCCCACACGTGCTTTTATTTGCTCAGCAGACCTTAACTAGCACCTACTGGGTGCCAGGCACAAGTCTAGGTGGTTGGACGTGGCACGGAACAGAGCAGACAAGGCCCTGCCCTCACAGCAAGGTGAAGCCAACAACAAGCATGAAAACCCTATTTAAAAAGCAAACTTGGAAAAAAAAAAAAAAGCAAACTTGACAGGGCACAGTGGCTTACACCTGTAATCCCAACACTTTGGGAGGCCGAGGTGGGAGGATCACTTGAGCCCAGGAGTTTGAGACCAGCCTGAGCAACACAGCAAGACGCTATTTCTACAAAAAGTTTAAAAAACTAGCCAGGTATGGTGGTGCATACCTGTAGTCTTAGCTACTCGGTGGGGCCGAGGTGGAAGGATCACTTGAGCCCAGGAGCTCCAGGCAGCAGGCAGCAGCAAGCTATGATCACACCACTGCACTCCAGGCTGGGCCACAGAGTGAGACCCTGTCTAAAAAAAAAAAAAAAAAAAAAAAAAAAAAAAAAGAAGCAAACTTCTAGAGATAAATGCTAAGTGAAGAAAACAGAGAGGTGGAGCAGAATGACAAGAAACACAGTAGAGACTGCTGGGTTCCCCCAACATCTACCCTTCCCTTTAGTGATGGAACCAATGGAGTTTAGCTTACACATCGCTTCCCAGCACAATGGGGACCTTTCCCAGCTTCCCTGCAACTGGGTGTGGCCATGTGGCTGAGTTTTATCCAACTGGACACGAGCTGAGACAGGCTGACAGTCCTTCAGCCTGTCATTTGATCTAATCCCATGGTGTGAAGACATAAACTCTAAAACAGAGGCCCAACAAAGATAAAAACCCTGACTTGTCTTTAAAAAGAACTTTTTTTTTGTTATAAACATATGACACGAGCAGAGTGAGGTCTGCTAATTTCAGATCATGCCCTCCTCCCTTCCCGGTGGCTGGAATATAGATACGACAGTGGGAGCAAGAGCAGCCTCCTCAGACCACGAGGCAGAAACCCTGTACGAGGGTAACAGAGCAATGAGAAAGAAGGTGTCTGGGTCCCCAGCACAATGAGGCCTCCGTGCATGTACTGGACAGCTTGCACAGAGGCTGCCTGCATAGATAAAAATAATCTATTTTATTATCCTAGCCTTTGTTTCAACAGCTAGCCCAAATCCCAATGAATATAAAGGTACTGCTTGGACTGGGTAGTCAAACAAGGTGACATTTTGAGCCGAGATCTCAATAAATAAGCAGGAGCCAGCCTTGGAAAGATCGAGATAAAGAACATTCCAGGGAGAATCACCTAAGATCCAGATGCACAAGTCCAGAGGTAGAAACAGGTTTGGCCTGTCCCAAGGGCAAAAAACAGGCCAGGGTAGCTGATACCAGAAAGGTTGGCAGGGCCAGGTCCCACATGCAACTCGACTTCACTCTAAGTGCAACCAGAAGGGTGTTACAAGGAGTGAGAGGTCTGGTTTCCATGGGGACAGGATGCCAGTGAAAAGGGACTGAAGTGGAGGAGGAACAGAGACAGGGAGGCCATGAGGAGCTCCTGCAACAGTCCATGCATGAGAGGACAGAGGCTTGCACTAGTGGCAGCAGTGCAGGTGGAACAGAGGGACTTGGGAGACCTTTGGGAGGCTTGGCCAACAAGACCCACTGACAGATCAAACACAGGGAATGAGAGAAGAGGCCAAAGACGGCTGATGGTGCAGTTTCTGGCCTGAGTCACTGGATGTTTTGCAACTGAGGCCAACACTGACCACCAGACACTGTCCCCTTCTTCCTCACTAACAAGCTACTATTTTGTTCAGGATCCCTCCATAAAACCTAGTGTTCAAGCAGGGGCCCCTCCCCAGGACCAGAAGTTGAGTCTCCATTAATTTCAGCCAATGGTCTCTGGGGTGGAGCCGGTGTGGAGCACTGCTCTAGTTTGACATGGCAACTGCTAGGGAATGGAGGACTGTGGATTTTTTTGTGTGCAGGGTCCAGGGCTGCCAAATGTCTGCAATGCATAGGACAGTCTGCCAAATGAGTAACTAACTGTCTTCCCCTACAGCTAGCATGCCCTGCAGAGTGGCTCTGGTCGAAGTCAAGAAGGGTGGCCCTTCTGCTCCTGGCCAGCAGTTGGTTGAGGCAAAGGCATGTGATGCCTCATGGGGGGATCTGTGCCTGTGTGGGGTGTCCAGAACTGTCTTCCTGCACCCCTGGAGGACTGGGCCACCACGCTGAGCATGCAGGAGCTTACAGCTGGAAGCGGGTGTGCAGCGCGCCTCCTGCATGACTTCTGGTGGCATGAGATAATAACTTGTAACTTTGAGTTGAGAGTATCAGTGACCTGATGAAGGAGGGAGATTCTACAGCCCTCTCCTCCCCACCCCATTATTTATTTATTCATATATTTTTCAGACAAAGTCTCACTCTGTCACCCAGGCTAGAGTGCAGTGGTGCAATCTCAGCTCACTGCAACCTCTGCTTCCCAAGTTCAGCCTTCTGGGTTCAAGGAGTCTTCCCATCTCAGCCTCCCAAGTAGCTAGGATCACAAGTGTGCACCACCACACCTGGCTAATTTTTGTATTTTTAGTAGAGACAGGGTTTTGCCATGTTGGCCAGGCTGGTCTAGAACTCTGGACCTCAAGTGATCCACCTGCCTGAGCCTCCCAAAGTGCTGAGATTACAGGTGTGGGCCACCATGACCAGCTATCCCCACCCCTATTATAAAGCCAAGCCAGGCAGAGTGAACGCCTGGTCCTAGCAGCCCAGCACCAACTCTGACCCAGAATGGAATGTCACGCAGCCCCAAGACGGGCAGGGCCAGGGTGCAGGCCAGGCACCCAGCAGTCACCAGCAAGCTGAGAGGCCCCTTGAGGCACAGAGGCCAGTGGGGAGGAACAGGGGCAGGGAGTAGGAGAGTGGGGGAGTCAGGCAGAGTCCAGGGTATGGAGGGCGGGGTGGGCTTCTGGTTTTGCCTGCCCAGCATCCAGGCTGCTGCCAGTTGGTAAGAGCACCGTTTTCCTGAGGTGGAAACTCAGCTCCCAGACTCTAGACTCTCTGGAAGTTTAGGGATGCGTGACTAACCCTTCACAACCCAGGGAATGCACCTGTGATCTAAGTCTGGCTAGTCAGGATGTTCCATCACCCTGGCCAATGAAAATCTGCCCTGAGGCTTTTGATCTAAATTATTATTAGAATAAATTATTAGAGCAAAAGTCTCAGGGCAGATTCTCATTGACAATTGAGGAAACACTCTCTGCTGAGCTCAGTAAGTCAGGGCTGTACCACCTTGACCTCACGCTCAGGTACCCGCCTCAGAGTAAAGCCGACGCGGAGGAGTGGAGAGCTGAGACACGGATGGAGACAGATCTTGATGAGCTCACTGGAGCCCCTGGATTCAGCCACATCCAAAGCCAGTCCTACCCGCTTGGACTTTTCAGTTATAAAACCCAACAAATCCCCTTTTCTGCCTAGGCCAGTTTGAGTCTGACTTCTCTAATTCACCAGTGAAAAACCTCCAGCTAACACAGATTTTGGAGTCAACAAGACGGGGCTGCACTGCTGGTTCTGCCACGTGCTTGCTGTGTGACCTGGGGTGAGTCACTCCCCCTCCAAGTATCATGGGGACAACATCTGCCTAATAAGGGTGCCGTAAGGATCAAACAAAACCAGGGATGTAAACATCTACAAAAGTGACACATGTACAAAGGTGGTTGCTGCTTTTCTTTTTTTTTTTTTTTTTTTGAGACAGAGTCTTGCTCTGTCGTCCAGGCTGGAGTGCAGTGGCGCGATGTCGGCTCACTGCAACCTCCACCTCCCGGGTTCAAGCAATTCTCCCACCTCAGCCTCCCAAGTTGCTGGGATTACCAGAGAAGAGACTGAAGGGCAAGGAGGGAAAGGAATTGGTTCCCAGGTCCATGGACCTCTTGTGAAGCCCCCATTGCTGTGGGGTCTGAGGAAACACAGAGGAGGTGTCAGCTGCTCTGCCTGCCCCCACTCCCCTGCCAACAACGTAGTAACCTCTGTGCCTAACCTCTGAGCCCTGGCCTCCAACCCTGGGAGGGAGGTACTTATGTTATCCGCATTGTGCACGTGGAGCTCAGAGGGGCAGCCACTTGCCAGGCCAGCAATCCAGGCTGTCTGTCTCCAGAGCCCAGGCCCCCAGTCAACAACTTGCCAGGTGCCCCTCTCCAGGCCTCGGCTTCTCCACCTGTGGGTCAAGAGCACCAGGCTTGTTCTAGAGCTATCTTCTCAGACCTGATGTGGGAAATACCCTGGTGTTGTTAACATGCAGATGCTGCTCCCAAGGGCAGGGGTAGGGCTGAACAGTCTGTGTTTCCCACAGGCTCCCAGGTGGTGCCCCTGCTGCTGCTACTTGATCCAGCAACCACACTGGGGTTATGGGGCTGCTGGCCATACCAGGATTGCCATTACGTATCAAAGCTTAGGAAATAACTGAAGCACTGACTTTTTTTTTTTTTTTTTTTTGAGACAGAGTCTCGCTTTGTCACCTAGGCTGGAGTGCAATGGTGCGATCTTGGGTCACTGCAACCTCCGCCTCCTGGATTCAAGCGATTCTCCCGCCTCAGCCTCCTGAGTAGCTGGGATTACAGGTGTGCACCACCACACCCGGCTAATTTTTGTATTTTTAGTAGAAATGGGGTTTCACCATGTTGGCCAAGCTGGTCTCAAACTCCTGACCTCAGATGATCCACCCACTTCAGCCTCCCAAAGTGCTACGATTACAGGCATGAGCCACTGCGCCTGGCCCGCACTGACTTTTAGTTAATAGGATGCACACTTCCTATGTGCAGACATGGTGCTCAGTGCTTTACACGTGGTGACACACTTAACAATGGCATCGCCTTCTAAGGGAGAGAGGACAATTACTGTCCCCTTATACAGAGGAGAGGAGAGGCAGAGAAGGGGTCAGTCCTCAGCCTTCTCTACTTAGTTCTCTTAGACTGATGCTCCCAAGCACTGACAAAGAAGTGGGAGGGGTTGGTCAGCTCACGATAGGGGCCTAAGGGTGGTGAGAAGGGGTGGTGAGAAGGGGTGGAGCCCAGGGGTGATTCTCAGAGGAGGAATTCCTGCGGTGCAGAGCACCCTGGGCAACCCCAGGCCTCCCAGGAACAGGGAAACTGGGACAGACTGTTTCTTCCACCTGGGAGGAGTCTCCCAGACTCACAACATTCCAGGGGCCTCTGCCTCCCTCCCTCCCACCCAGTTGAGGGACAGGATGCTGGCTAGGCTCAGGTCATGGTCACGCAATGCAGGACCCGCTGAGAACGACTGGGTAAGGCCTTCTCTCTCCTCTCTGGGACTCAGCTTTCCCTGCTCTCTCATCTGTGCAACAGGATTGACCAAACCCCACCCACAGCTACCGGATAGGAAACCCTGGGGAGAGGGGCCCTCAGTGCTTCCCACACCGACGGGTTGTTGAGCTTACAAACCCTAGGGCCTAAGGGTGGTGAGAAGGGGTGGAGCCCAGGGGTGACAAGGTGGGGAAGGCTCCATAGGGCAGAGGCCAAGTAAGTTACTTTGCTCTCCCCTGTTGTCCTTCGGCCTTGGGGCTGGCAGGCGTGTGGTCCCTGTCCTAAGCCGGAGACCCCAGTAAGATGGGGAGGCCTGGGCCCAATCTGACCTGCACCTTGCCCTCCCTGCTTGCCTTCCACCTGCTGAGCTGGTCCGTTCCTCAGGGCCTTTGGGCTGGCTCTCCCCCAGCTCTCTCCTGACACCTCCTCTGAGAAGCCTTCCCTTCTCAGCTGTCTCCAGCGCCCGAGCCGCGTCTGGGTATTTACTACTCTCTATCCCGGGAGTGCTCAGGACTCGGTCCCCTAGAACAAGGCCTGGCACGACACGAGCCCTCAACAGGTTGTTATGACGGGAACAACTGAATCTCCAGCACCGCCAAGCCCCGCTGGGGACTGGACGACCCTGCGGCCCCTCCTCACTGCAGAGAAGAGGGCAAAGCCAGCCCCCACCTGCATTCCCCGAGTCCAGAGGGAGCGGAGGCTTCGACATGGCCCCCTCACGGGGCAGCAAAGCCCCGAACCGGCGGCAGGCTTGGCTCAGGAGCACCTCGGCCGCTGCGGGCAGCCACCGTGGGGCTGGAGCCCGTGCCGCCACCCCGCGCCGGACCGGGTCGCCGAGGTCCGGATCTCCACCCGCACTGCCTCCAGCCGGGGCCGAGCCCGACGCCGCTACGTGCGGCTCCCTCCCGGGCCTCGCGTGCCCCCGCGCCCCGAGCGACTCCCGACTGCCCGGCACCCCTCCCGTGGGTTCCCACATCCAGGGCCTTCCCTCCCAAACGCCGCCTTGGCCGTCCGAGCTGCGCCCGAGCGGAAATGGGCCGCTCGCGGAGCAAGGAGGGGAACGGCGGCTGGGCTTCCCGCCGGGGCGAGGGACGGGGCTCCCCCTCTAGCTGCGGCAGGAGACGGGGAGAAGGCCCCTCCTTACCTGACAGCCCGGGCCGCGCTCAGGACCGGCCGCCCCGGCCGCCCCGGCCGCCCATCCGCCGCCACTGGGTGTGCGCGGATCCAGCACAGGCCGCGGGACTCCGGCCTCCAGCGCCAGACCAGGCGGCCTGGGCCGGGAAGCGTCGCGCAAGGACCGGGCGCGACCGGCTCCGTGGAATGAGGGCTAGGCAGGAAAGGCGAGGCGGGGTCAGCTCGCCGGGCCGCGGGTCTCGCGGACACCCTGCAGCCCTTCCCGACAGCGGCGACCGGGAAAGCAAGACCGTCTTTTTCGTCCAGCCCAAATTGCGAAAACGGCCACAGTCCCACAAGTCCCAGAGTCCCAGAGTCCCTGTTATCACTCAGGCCCGCCCTCTAACCTCCAGCAGCCTATAGGAATAAGTCATCACTGGGGGAAAAAAAAAAAAAAGTGGGAGAGACCAATCAAATTCCCAAGAGGCGGAGCAGCCCGCTGACCTCTTAAAGAGACAGCACAGAGGAGGTGCAGAGACAAGACGCTGCTTCACGGAAGAGAGAGGCCTGCGTTTCTCACTCGGAAAGCGGGCGGAATCGAAGACTGGAAAGCTGAGGACGCGCCACCTCTCGCCCTACGCGCCTTCCAGCTGGCAGCAGTTGTCAGTGGACCAGCTGGCGGCAGCCGCGCTCCACCTCCCGGCCTGGGCCGCGGCCGGACCGTCGGGGCGGAGCCTCCGGGGACCGCCCCCTCGCGTGCGGGCGCTTCGGGCGCCCTGCAGGGGTGACCTGGGGTCAGCTTGGGGGAAGGCGTGTCGGGGACCCTCCCCGGCGCCACGCGCTCCAGCCGCGCCACGCCGCAGGGCCGCCGCCTCCCAGCGCCCTGCTCCACGCGGCGCCGCCATGCCTCGGGCACTCCTCTTAGCAACCCTGCTAGGCAGTCATTATAGTCACCTTTTACAGGGCCACCTGAGGCTTGGAGAGGTCAAATAACTTGACCAAAGCCGCGCAATGAGGAAGCGACACAGCCAGGACGCCTCTCCCCAACTCTAACTTCCACAGTTCTTCACGCCTGTTCCTCTGGAAAGCCCTCCCTGATTGCGCCTGTCTTATCCCCTGGCATCGATGCTGCATTCACCATACTCAAGCCATGCGGGTCTCTGTTTCTGTCCCTCGGCTGTTCCAAGCTTGTTCCTGCTCCTGGCTCTACACCTGTTCCCCCGCAGAGCTGGCTCCTTGCCACATCATGTCCTCTAGAGGGTTTTGTGGACACCCTCGCTGGAGCGGCTGTCCAGTCTCATTTCCTTCCGAGCATCTTAATTCTCACCTGATTGTTTTCATTTACCTGCCTCCCCGTCCAGTCTCCCCACCCTATTATAGAATTCCAGCGTCATGAGGATGGAGCCAAGAGAGCCAAGCTGCAGGATGTCCCCTGCAGCATCCTGAGGCTGACTCAGAGCCTCGTGCAGATTGTAGGCACTCAGTTATTACAGGCACCCCAAGACTCACACCTTGCGACAGCACCGCTGGGCTGGAATGAGATTGGGTCCCATTCTTCTCCTTGCTCCTGTCCTAAAAACACAGGGAGATTGGGGAAGAAACCACCTTGTGATCCTCTGGGACTTTCCCAGCCTGGACCACACCCAAATGTGCATACCTAAGTTTAGGCTTCTATATTCGCCAGAGAGGCTGGGCAATGCCGGCCTGCGTAATCACGAATGACCACAGCCACAATGAGCCGTGGGGAATCCAGTGGCTCCTCAAGTTCCTCCCAGAAAGTTATACACATCACTCTCACGCACATTCAATTGGCCACCGCTTCTAGCCTCCAGAGGGCAGGAAACTGCCACCCTACCATGTGCCAGGAAGTAGAAGTCATGGGACATGTGTGACCAGGCCTAATAACTACCCTCTGTAAGGTTCTTGTATCGGTTCGAACCCTGCGAGCGCGCCGACACACAACACGAGGCGGTGTGGAGCAACATGCTGTTTTTTTTTTTTTTTTTTTTTTTTTTTTTGAGACGGAGTCTCGCTCTGTCGCCCAGGTCGGACTGCGGACTGCAGTGGCGCAATCTCGGCTCACTGCAAGCTCCGCTTCCCGGGTTCACGCCATTCTCCTGCCTCAGCCTCCCGAGTAGCTGGGACTACAGGCGCCCGCCACCGCGCCCGGCTAATTTTTTGTATTTTTAGTAGAGACGGGGTTTCACCTTGTTAGCCAGGATGGTCTCGATCTCCTGACCTCATGATCCACCCGCCTCGGCCTCCCAAAGTGCTGGGATTACAGGCGTGAGCCACCGCGCCCGGCCGCAACATGCTGTTTTAATGAGCGCCTGGGTGCAGGTGGGCTGAGGCCTAAAATGGCATCAGCCCCAAGTGAGGACGCGGCAAAGGTTTTATAGTCTCCTGTAAACAGGAAGTGTCCTAGTCTGACGTAACTGCTACGTTGTACCCGGATGGACTCTTTCTCGATCTTCACGGGTACATGTCTTCCCACCACGGTAGGTGTCTTCCAGCCAGCTCTTGTCCTGCTTCTGCTATCTTGCTGGCACAAGTAGCCTTGCACCTTGGAACTGGGCCTGAGAAGGGAGGAGTTATTCATCTTAAGCTTTCAGGCCCCAGGAAGAATCTTAAACCCTCTATTTTTATTTTTCTGCCTTTTGAGACTTGGAGAATTCTGCATTTTCTTCTCTTGAGTTTTGAACCCCATATCTAAGTTTCTGTGGGATTTTGTTGTATTTGTGAAATAACCAAAGGTATCTGCCTTTGAGAGCTGAGGCAGTGGCTAATTCACTGCAGTATCCACTACACACAGGACAGAGCGTGGCATCTGCAACATTAAATGAATAGTAGCTTAATAAACAGATCTGACTCTCAGGTTCTTCATCACCCTACAGCAGGCTCAGGGGTGGCCACGGCTGACAGTAGGAGATGCTGCTACAGAACTGGGCTCCCTGATAGCCATGGGGATGACAGCAATCCCCAGATAACAGACGCCAGATGGTAGTGCTTAGGCGTGAGAAGCAAAGTGGGTGCAACTGTCATAGGACCATCAAGATCAAGCTCAATATATCACTGGGATAGACATCCTGTGTAGTAAACAAAATGCCTGCACTGGTTCCTTGGTCTATGGGGTGAGAGTGATGGTAGTAAAAGTCAAGTGAAAGCCTCTGAGACCCCACTATCACCACCACCCACCCCGGCCAAGAGAGCAAGCACATAAACAACATCACACACCAGAGAAAATGGCGGAGACTGGTGCCACCCTTGAAGACCAAAGACGTGTGGAGGGTATCCCCCACCATGTACCTATTTAATTCATCAGTCTGACCTTATAAAAATAAACAGAGTGGCAATGGACTATTGCAGATTCAGCCAAGTGGTAGCCCTGACCACAGGTGCTGTGCAGGTGCATTGCTAGCACAGACAGATCAGCACGGCCCCCGCTTCTCAGGGGCCATCTGATCACCACACTTTTTCATCCCTATCAGGGACCATTTGCACTCATAGGAACGGCCAACAATACACACATATGGTCTTGCCCCAGGCCAATGATACCTTTCCCATCCTTTGTCATCACAGTCTGAAGGAGACTGGGCCATCTGAACGTCTTGCAGAACACTGCACTGGTTCATGGTGTCAATGACAATGTGCTAATCAGGATGGATGAGCAGGAGGTGACAAGTACATGGAAAACTTGATGAGACATATGTGCTCCAGCGGGCAGAAGATTAAACCCTATGAAGAATTAGGGGCTTGCCACATCAGTGAGGTTTGTAGGGGTCTGGTGGTGTGGGGCACACCAGAACATCCCCCTGCACACTCCATCACAGAAGAGCAAGCACAATGCTTAGAGGCCTCTTTGGGTTCTGGAGGTAGCAGATTCCACACCTGGGAGTGCTGCTCTGACCCACATATCTCTGGGTCACATGACATCAAAGGCTGTCCCTCAGGCTATGGGACCCACAGACCCCATGATACTAGAGGCATACATGGTGGGAAGATATGCTGTGTGAAGCTTACAGCAAGCTCTGGTGGGAAAAACCACAAAGTAGACCCCCTAGGGTTCTGGAGCAAGACCAGGTCATCTATAGTAGAGAACTAGACACCATTCACAAAGCAGCTCTGCCAGGCTACTGGACCCTGGTAGAGATGACTAGGGGACATCAAGTGACCATGAGGCCAGAGCTGCCCCTCATGAACTGGGTTCTGTCAGGCCCTCTAATATGTAAATTCAGGTGGGTGGGCCTAGCAGCAATCCACTGAGACTGTAAGCAATCCGTTGTACATCCACATCACCTACCACTGCCACAGCAGCTCCTCTGCCTCAGTTCACAACTACGCCAATGGGCAGTTCTTACGGAGGAAAAAGGCTGCGCTTGATCACAGCTGAGCTGGCTCAATACATGGGTCAGATGTAGTACCTGGATGTGCAGCGGTCGCATGGAGCCCTTGAGGATGAAAGCCACAGGCTACAGATGGTGGAACCAGAATGGGGAGGAGACTTGTCCTCGGCGATGTCCTGAAGCAGCTGCCCCAGCGCTGGATGCCTACTGACCTGGGAAGAGCAAACCCCAAGGTGATGTGTCCTGGAGCAAGTCCAGCATGACTGTTGGCTGGGGTCCCAGCTCCTCACTCCCCAAGCCTGTCCCAGGCTGCCTGAGTGTCCTCAAGACATGGATGCTGCCTTCTCTCAGAGTGAGCAAAGCTGCAGTCTTTTTGTAACTGAATCTCCAAAGTAACATCCAACCACATCTGTCCTATGCTGTTGGGAGGAGATCACACAAGGGTGTGAATACCAGAAGGCAAGGGCCATCAGGGCCATAATAGAGGCTGCCTACTCACCCCACCCACCTTTCTGTCTCTCCTACCCTGCCCCCAACCAGTGTTTAAACATGTCCAAGAACCTCTCATCTGAGAAAAAGCCATATCCCACTCCAGTGCCTGTCCCAGCTCTCACAGTCCATTCCACACCTGGGAATGCCTCTCTGACCCATACATCTTTGGGTGACATAAAAGCACTCCAGCCTCCAACTAGTAACTCACATTCACCCTTCTCACTTCCCTGCATCCTACCTGTCAACACACTTCAATGTAGTGTCTGACTCCAGACACACCGGCCAGCCCAGATCTGCTATCGCCAGGGCCACTAACAGCTCCTAGTCCTTATCAGATGACCTCTGGGCAGCCAGCTGACCCCATCCACCATCTTGACTGCTCTCTTCAGTGGCCTTTGGGAGGGCTCCTGATAATCCCCAGCCCTGCTAGGATCTCCTCTCCTTCAGTGTGGGCCGGACCTCAGGACTCACTTCTCGCTAAGAGAATATGGCAAAAGTAAAGGAATATCACTTCCAAGACATGGCATCTGTCTTGTATGGCCTCTCTCTCTTGTTCGCTTGCTCTGAAAGAAACCAGCTGCCAGGTTGTAAGCTGCTCTGTAGAGAGGCCCCCACCCAAGAGCCAGTGGGAAACTAAGTCTTCAGTCCAACAGCCTATGAGGACCTGAATCCTATCATGTGAAGAAGCTTGGAAGGGGATCCTCCTGAAGATGAGCCTTCAGAGGAGACAGCAGCCCTGGCCAATACCTTGCCTGCAGCCTTGAAAGACCTTGAAGAAGAGGCACCCAGTGGCATCGTGTCCAGATCCCTGATCCACAGACACCGAGACAGTGGGTGCTAATTGCTTCAAGGTGCTAAATCCCAGGATAATTTTTTTTTTTTTGAGATAGAGTTTCGCTCTTTTTGCCCAGGCTGGAGTGCAATGGCACAATTTCGGCTCACCGCAACCTCCACCTCCAGTGTTCAAGTGATTCTCCTGCCTCAGCCTCCTGAGTAGTTGGGATTACAGGCATGCGCCACTACGCCTGGCTAATTTTGGATTTTTAATAGAGACAGGGTTTCTCCATGTTGGTCAGGCTGGTCTTGAACTCCTGACCTCAGGTGATCCACCTGCCTCAGCCTCCCAAAGTGCTGGGATTACAGGTGTGAGCCACCATGCCTGGCCATCCCAGGATAATTTTTTATGCAGCAATAGATAACACAAGCCCATGCAGAGTCTCTTCAGCTTTCCTGTCAGCAGCTCCTAGCATCCGAGGTGCATCCTTCACATCCTTTGTTGGTGTCTCTTAACTGTTGGGGTTTCCCAGGTCCCAGGCTTAGACCTTCTCATCTCCCTGCACTCACTCTGGATTATACAACCACTCCCAAGGCAATCTACAGCTTCAGTCCAAACACGCCCTTGAGTCCCATACATGGATATCCAACAGCTTCCTGGATATGTCCCCTCGGCCCAAATTCAGCACAGCCAGAAACAAACTCATCTTCTTCCCCCTTAAATTGCTGGTCTTCCTGTGCGCTCCTATCTCAGCTATCATCCACCTAGCTAAGCCAGGATCCTGGTGTCATCCTGCATGCCTCTTTTGCTGTCCTCAATCACCAACACCTATAGACCCCACTTCCTGGCCGGGCGTGGTGGCTCACGCCTGTAATCCTAGCACTATGGGAGGCCAAGGCAGGCGGATCCACTTGTCAGGAGTTGGAGACCAGCCTAGCTAACAATGGTGAAATCCCATCTCTACTAAAAATACAAAAATTAACCGGGCACAATGGCGTGCATCTCTAATCCCAGCTACTCGGGAGGCTAAGGCACGAGAATCGCTTGAACTTGGGAGGTGGAGGTTGCAGTGAGCTGAGGTTGCACCACTGCACTCCAGCCTGGGTGACAGAGTGACTCTGTCTCAAAAAAAAAAAAAAGATTCCACCTCCTAAACATCTTGTATTTCCAGTTCTCTCCATCACTCCTGCCTCCCTACCCTGGGTCCCAGGCAGAGATGCTTGTTCACTGCACAAAGTGCCTGGCTAAGAGGGTTGCGATTCAGCCCTGCCTCTGCTCACTAAGGCTGCCTGGAACTAGACAAGAACCACAGCAACCTCCTCGTTTGCTGCCTTCAACCTCGTTCAATCCACTTCCACCTGGTAGCAGCCAGAGGGATTCTAAAACCCACACTAGTTCACGTCTCACCCTGCTCAAAATGCTTCCATGGCCTTCCATTGCTTTCAGAATACAGAATAGTCAAACTCTCTAGAAAAACATCTAGCTCTTTTTTGATCCGGATTTTCTCTCCCTCAAGTCTTGTCTGTTGCCCGGCATCATAAGCTCCTAGGGTTAGTTCTTAGGGAGGGGCTTGCACATCCGGGCCCTGCCATGACCTCTGCAGCTTTGCACATGGCATCCTTCTATCTGTAACATCCTCCCTGCGTCTTCGCTCCCCTGGGCAAAGATAACTCCTACTAAAGCCTCAGATGTGACCTCCTACAAAATCCCAGAGTTGTCCAGCTGCTTGAAGTATTGAGCCTTTGAGCTTTGGGAGAAGTTAAACCATTGTGCTCCTAAGACGGTAAGAAGCGTCAGAAAACCAGGCTCTGAACCTCTGCTGTCTTTTTTTTTTTTTGAGACGGAGTCTCACTCTGTCACCCAGGCTGGAGTGCAGTGGCGGGATCTCGGCTCACCGCAACCTCCACCTCCCAGGTTCAAGCGATTCTTCTGCCTCAGCCTCCCGAGTAGCTGGGATTACAGGCCCGTGCCACCATGCCCAACTAATTTTTGTATTTTTAGTAAAGACTGGGTTTCACCATGTTAGTCAGGCTGGTCTCGAACTCCTGAGCTTGTGATCCGCCCACCTCGGCTTCCCAAAGTGCTGGGATTACAGGCGTGAGCCACCGCGCCCGGCCTCTGTTGTCTTGTCAGCAAAATGGCCCTGGTGTGACCGAGGTCACGCAGCCAGCAAGTGTCGTCGGGTCCCCTGGAGCCTCAGCTTCTACCTCCGCTCCAGCTCCCACCACAGCGCAGGCGAGCGCACGCGCACAGCGCCGGGCCGCACACCTCCGGGCTCTGGGCGGAGCGCCTCGGGCGTTGTAGGCGGGACCGGACCCTCTGGCCCGCCCCTCCGTGTCCCTTCTGGTCGCCAGTGGACGCCGACGTCATGACGTCGCGTTCCGTAGGGCTCTTCCCGGGCTTTGGTGGGTCACGTGAACCACTTTTCGCGCGAAACCTGGTTGTTGCTGTAGTGGCGGAGAGGATCGTGGTACTGCTATGGCGGTGAGCGCGCTGGCGCGTGGCGGGCGGGCGCCGGGGACATGGGTGCGGAGGCTGCGCGCTTCCCGTACTCTGGCCCCGGCCCAGGGCGGCGCTCTGGGTGAGGCTGGGCCCCAGGCTCTGGGGCGCAGCTACTTTCTCGCCTGCACCCTGCGTGAGGCGACTCGCCTACCTACCACTGACCTGGGGCCCTGGGCTCCCTAAGGCGAGCTCGGCCCGTTCAGCCTCTGTCCTTTATTCACCCCACACATACTTATTGGGCGCCATCTGTGTGGCGCTGAGCGTACAAAAGACAGGCCCCCATTTCACTACACTCCTTTAAACTTTTTTTTTTTTTAATTTCCCAATGATCCTTGTTCCAAACACTACACTTACTTTTGTATTACCTTCTTGTCCCTTTGTCTTGTATACTGTCTGTTCCACATCTGAGTTCCAGACCTCTTGTTTTGGTGGCTCTTCTATGCCATCTCTATCACAATACCTTGCGCACTGTGTGTGCTGAAATAGGTCTAATGCTTAAGGGGAGATAATAGACAGTAAACAGGTAAATAGGCAAATGACATAACCTCAGTGGTTTTTCATGGAGAAAGCACGGTGATGTGGGTGACCCCGATATTTGAGCTGGCTTCTATTTGTTTGGAAGCCACTGACTCAGATTGCTCAGCTGAGAGCATTCCAGGTGAGAGAACAGCAAGGGCAAAGATCTGGAGGCTGGAAGGGGTTTGGTGTGTTGGAGGACAAGAGTCACAGGTGGAGAGAAAGAAGGGAAGGCCCCTGATGGTAAAAAGGAAGCTGTATCATGCCTCACCAGCTTCCTAGGTTTCTGACAACCGCACCTTCTCTTGCAGGAATCATCGGAATCCTTCACCATGGCATCCAGCCCGGCCCAGCGTCGGCGAGGCAATGATCCTCTCACCTCCAGCCCTGGCCGAAGCTCCCGGCGTACTGATGCCCTCACCTCCAGCCCTGGCCGTGACCTTCCACCATTTGAGGATGAGTCCGAGGGGCTCCTAGGCACAGAGGGGCCCCTGGAGGAAGAAGAGGATGGAGAGGAGCTCATTGGAGATGGCATGGAAAGGTAATTTCATTCAAGGCCCTGGACTCAGCAGATAGTTTTGCAGAGAGCCCATTGTGTGCCTGGTGGCCTGGCTTTGGGAGCTGGGAGCAGATGAATCGATGGCATTCTTGCCTTTGAGCACAGCTTGATCCAGGGTTCTGAGGAGACAGGTTTACAGAGCCATGACACAGGTCTCTTTAACTTACTGCATGTAACTTGGAAAGACTAGACCCTAAGCTGAGGATAAGCCCCGACTCCATAAGCACCCCAGAGAATGTAGGGGTCTCTAATCTGGAATACTCCAACTCAAAAAGACAGGAAGCAGGAAGCCCAGTGTTTCCCAGTAACTTTTCAAAGGAAAGGTGCATGGGGGAGGAGGGATCTGATAAATAAAGTTTTAGAGTCAATCAGCAAACATTTATTGTACCTAATGTGCACCATGCCCTTTGTTAGGAATGGTCTTGTTTATTAGTAAACATGTGGTGGCTCACACCTGTAATCCCAGCACTTTGGGAGGCCGAGGTGGGCGGATCACCTGAGGTCAGGAGTTTGAAACCAGCCTGGTCAACAGGGTGAAACCCCGTCTCTGCTAAAAATACAAAAAATTAGCTGTGCATGGTGGTGCGTGCTTGTAGTCCCAGCTACTTGGGAGGCTAAGGCAGGAGAATCACTTCAACCCAGGAGGCATAGGTTGCAGTGAGCTGAGATCACACCACTGCACTCCAGCCTGGGCGAAAAGAGTGAAACTCTGTTTCAAAAATAAATAAATAAATAAGTTAGCAAGACTTAATGCTAGGAGAGTGGAGTAAGCTCTGCGCATAAGCAAGGCTAGATTTCTACCCCTGCCTTACTCTGCATTTCCAGCTGCGATCTGGTAGATAACGTCAGTAGCGGAATTGTGTGAATGCCCAGGAGCCTCGTGGAGATGCTCCTTTTGTGCCTTTTCAGCCTTAGCATGTGTGAGAGTACTGTGCAGGGCATCCTGCCGTCCCTAGGATGTCAGACAGTTGAGAGGCTTTCAAGGGCACTCCAGACTGGATGCATCTTTGCTATTATCAGTACCACCCCCAACGATGAGACTGCATGTGCTGTAGGCTGTAGAAGGAATGAGGAGTCTGGATAAATCTGCCCTGGACTTGGGGTCAGGGCATGGGTCCTAGACGGCTTTCCTGTTCTGCCTGATGGAGTTGTTCAGGCCGGATGCCCCTCCTCTGCTGTTTCCCCTCCCTGTCTTGACCCTTTCTCTTTGCTTCTCTGAGAAGCAAAGAGAGAGGCCCTTGGCAGGGGGCTTCTGGGTAGAGGTATCTGAGGGATGGCTGAGCCCAATTACATTTGTTTTTGTGGTTTTTCAAAAAAAAAAAAAAAAACTTTATTGGGCTATAGTTTTTTAGAGTTTACCCCTTGCGAAAATATAATTCAATGCAAATTCATGGTAAATTTCCTGAGTTATGCAGCCTTCACCACAATCCAGTGTGAGAACAGGGCCGTTTTCCCATTGAGGTCCCTCCTGCCTGCTTATAGTTCATTCTCAGTTCTTACCCAACCCACAGGTAAGAATTAAAGACCTGTCTCTAGATTTTCCAATCTGGTCATTTCATATAAATTGAATCATATTATATATGCACTTTTGTGGTGGGCTTTTTTCTCTTAGTGTGGTTTTAAGGTCTTTCTGTGTTCTTGCATGTGCAGCACTCCATTCCTTTTTGTGGCTGAATCATATTTCTTTGTATGGAGATACCACATCTATTCATCAGTTGATGGATGTTGGCTTCCTCAAGCCTTTTGGCGATTATGAATAATGTTGCTATGAACATTCATTACAGGTCGTGTTTTTTTGTTTGTTTGTTTGTTTGTTTTTGAGTTTTGCTCTGTCGCTTAGGCTGCAGTGTAGTGGCACAATCTCAGCTCACTGCAACCTCCGCCTCCCAGGTTCAAGCAATTCTCCTGCCTCAGCCTCCCAAGTAGCTGGGATCACAGACATTTGCCACCACACCGGCTAATTTTTCTATTTTTAGTAGAGATGCGGTTTCGGTTTTACCATGTTGGCCAGGCTGGTCTTGAACCCCTGACCTCAGGTGATCCACGTGCTTCAGCCTCCCAAAGTGCTGGGATTACAGGTGTGAGCCACCACACCCGGCCCGTTACAGGTTTTTATGTGACCAGATCTTTAATTCTGTTGGCTATGTAGGAGTGAGATTGTTGGTCTTGTGTTTAATCTTTTGAGGAACTGCCAGACTGTTTTCAAAAGCAGCTGCACTATCTTGCATTCCCACCAGCAACACATGAGGGTTCCACTCCTCCGTGTTCTTGCCAACATTGGTCTTTTTGATTCTGGCCATCCCTGCAGGTGTGAAGTGGCATCTCATTCCTGATGGCTAATGATGTTGAACATCTTTTCGTATGCTTGATTGGCTATCTGTGTATCTTCAGAGAAATCCTGGACTCACTTTTTAATTGGGTTGCTTGTCTTTTTACTATTGAGTTGTAAGAGGTTTTTTACATATTCTGAATATAAGTCCTCTATCAGATATGTAATTTGCAGTTATTTTCTCCTCAATCTGGCTTATCTTTTTCGTGGTTTTAATGTTTTCTTTTGAAGTGCAAAAGTTTTGAAATTTGATGAAGTCCAGTTTAACTTTTTTTTTTTTTTTTTTTTGTATGAACCAATTAGAAGTTTGCTGAGGGCATTTTGTGTGACTTGAGATCCAGGGAGAATGGGACCGATACCTTTTCCCCGAAAACATGGAAGAAATCAGACCTGGTCAACTCTGATATCTGCCTGGCTGGGTTCTGCTTGGGGCATCAACAGCATAAAAAGATTTGTTCTGACAGTAGTTTGACAATGTTTATTGCAGAAAAATAGTAGCAGTTTCTCTTGTCACCATTTAACCTGAAAAAAGGAGAATTCAAGGGGATTGTCTTGGGGAGGCAGTATGGCATGGGGGAAGGAGCTCTGGGCTTGGACTATATTTTGACACTCAGGTCTACAGAGCGACCATAGGCAAAAATCACATTTTCCCCTCAACTACCCATTTCCTCATCTTTCAGATGGAATGACAGTGTCTCCTCCTCAGGGAAGAGAGCACTGCAGGGAAGAGAGCACAGTGCTTTGCACTCGCTGGGTGCCTTATTAAGGCATTACTTCTCTTCAGTATCTGAAGGAAGATAATGTGGAAAATGTGTGTCTGATGGTCTTAGAGTAGCTCAAAGGGTTGAGACAGTGGGTGGCCATTTCAGAGGGCTGGTTTGGCTGACTGTGCATGGAAGCCAGGACATCAGGTTGTTGAAGGCGGCATAGTCAGAGATGGGGAAAGTACAGGGAGAATTCCAGCCCTCACGGGGAGTTGGGTCAGCTCTCTGAAGCCTTTTGGTCTAATGTTTTGTGGTTCCTTGAATTATTTTTTCTTATTGGGCGCATAGAAGCTGTCTGGAGATCTACCTCCCCTTTTGTAATTGTGGTAAAATACACATAACAAAATTTACCTTTTCTTTTGTTTTTTTTTTGAGACAGAGTCTCACTCTGTTGCCAGGCTGGAGTGCAGTGGTGTGATCTCGGCTCACTGCAACCTCCGAAAGTGATTCTCCTGCCTCAGCTTCCCAAGTAGCTGGGACTACAGGCGCCCACCACCGCGCCCAAGTAATTTTTGTATTTTTAGTAGAGACGGGGTTTCACCGTGTTAGCCAGGATGGTCTCGATCTCCTGACCTCGTGATCCGCCCGCCTCAGCCTCCCAAAGTGCTGGGATTACAAGCATGAGCTACTGCCCTGGCCCAAAATTTACCATCTTAACCTTTTTTGTTTGTTTGTTTGTTTGAGACGGAGTTTCACTCTTGTTGCCCAGGCTGGAGTGCAGTGGTGCTATCTCGGCTCACTGCAACCTCTGCCTCCCTGGTTCAAAGTGCTAGGATTACAGGCATGAGCCACCGCACCCAGCCCTTTTGTTTGTTTGTTTGTTTTGTTTTGTTTGCTAGTTTTTTGAGACAGGGTCTTACTCTGTCACCCAGGCTGGAATGCAGTGGCACGAACGTGGCTCACTGCAGCCTTGAACTCCTGCGCTCAAGCAATCCTCCCAGCTCAGCCTCCTGAGTAGCTAGGACTATAGGCATGTGCCACCAGGCCTGGGTTATTTTTTTTTTCTTTTTGTTTTTTTTGAGACGGAGTCTCACTCTGTTGCGACCAGGCTGGAGTGCAGTGGCACAATCTCTGCTCACTGCAACCTCTGCCTCCCGGGTTCAAGCGATTCTCCTGCCTCAGCCTCTCGAGTAGCTGGGACTAGAGGCACATGACACTACGCCCAGCTAATTTTTGTATTTTTAGTAGAGATGGAGTTTTACCATGTTCGCCAGGATGGTCTCAATCTCTTGACTTCGTGATTCATCCGCCTTGGCCTCCCAAAGTGCTGGGATTACAGGCATGAGCCACCGTGCCCGGCCATTTTCTATTTTTATACAGATGGGGTCTCACTATGTTAAGGCTGTTCTTGAACTCCTGGGCTCAAGTGATCCTCCTGCCTTCACCTCCCAAAGTGCTGGAATTATAGGCATGAACCACCATGCCCAGCCATCTTAACCATTCTTATGTGTATGGTTCAGTGGCATTAAGTACATTCATATTGTTGTGCGGCCATCACCGCCATCCATCCACAAAAGTCTTTTCAGTTTGAAAACTGAAACTGTCTCGGTTAAACACTAACTCCCCATTCTTCCCAGCACCTAGCAACCATCATTTTACTTTCTGTTTCTGTGAATTTGACCGCTCAGTGAGTGGAACCATATAGGATTTGTCCTTTTGTGCCTGGCTTCTTTCACTCAGAATCATGTCCTCAAGGTTCATCCATGTGCCAGCACGTGGCAGAATTTCCTTCTATTTTAAGGCTTCATCGTCCATCATATGGACAGATCGTGTTTTGTTCATCCATTGGAGATCTTTTCTGAGCCTTCTGTGTTTCTGACCTGGAAGCGCTGAGCCTACCCACAATGGGGCTCCTGAACCTTAGGGAACAGGCCCAGTTCCTGGATGGGGTTTGGTGCTTAGGGTTTTCCTTTTTGGCAGTAACCACATCTGTTTTGGTGCTCCCTCAGGGACTACCGCGCCATCCCAGAGCTGGACGCCTATGAGGCCGAGGGACTGGCTCTGGATGATGAGGACGTAGAGGAGCTGACGGCCAGTCAGAGGGAGGCAGCAGAGCGGGCCATGCGGCAGCGTGACCGGGAGGCTGGCCGGGGCCTGGGCCGCATGCGCCGTGGGCTCCTGTATGGTAGGTCCAGTTGTCTGCCTGCCCGAGGGACTGGGAAGCTGGGAAGGAGTCTGGGAGGGGAGTAGAAGGTGCTGGGGATGACCGCAGTAGCAGGTGTCTCTTGCCTCCCCAGACAGCGATGAGGAGGACGAGGAGCGCCCTGCCCGCAAGCGCCGCCAGGTGGAGCGGGCCACGGAGGACGGCGAGGAGGACGAGGAGATGATCGAGAGCATCGAGAACCTGGAGGATCTCAAAGGCCACTCTGTGCGCGAGTGGGTGAGCATGGCGGGCCCCCGGCTGGAGATCCACCACCGCTTCAAGAACTTCCTGCGCACTCACGTCGACAGCCACGGCCACAACGTCTTCAAGGAGCGCATCAGCGACATGTGCAAAGGTGTGGCTTCCCTACGCCCCCGCCTCAGCCCCTGTAGCGCCTCCCTAAATCCTCCCCAGAAAGTTGTCTGAGCCGAGTGAACACGTGAAGCACAGGGCATATGGCTGAGAGGTCTGTCAGAGAAACCAAAAGTTTTGAGTTTTGCATCAGGGCTCTCCTGCTGGCTATGCAGTGACCACATCTGGGCCACCAAAGCGTTTTTTGACAAGCTTGAAAATGGACAGATTTTATATAAAAATCTGGATTACTACTTTGATCTTTGTAATAGGAATTGACTCTTTTTTTTTTTTTTTTTTTTTTTGAGACGGAGTTTTGTTCTTGTTTCCCAGGCTGGAGTGCAATGGCACGGTCTCGGCTCACTGCAACCTCCGCCTCCTGGGTTCAAGCGTTTCTCATGCCTCAGCCTCCCGAGTAGCTGGAATTACAGGCATGCACCACCATGCCTGACTAATTTTTTTTTTTTAGTAGAGAAGGGGTTTCTCCATGTTGGTCAGACTGGTCTCAAACTCCCGACCTCAGGTGATTTGCCCGCCTTGGCCTCCCAGAGTGTTGAGATAACAGGCGTGAGCCACCGTCCCCAGCCAGGAATTGACTTTTAAAAGGGACATGTAGATCTTGATTCCTGCAATTCCTTCCACTGCTTTTTGTCCTGTGTTTGTCAGTTTCTTCCTGGCTCTTGTAAGGCGTTTCATGTTTGTAGCTGTGTAGGCACTCTGCTCATATTTAATTTAACCCCCCAGCAACTTTGTACACTGTGTGACATGCCCATTTTACGGAGTAGGAAGTTGAAGCTCAGGCTATGTCACAGCTGAAGTGTGGTAGACCTAGAAGTGAAAGCTGGGCTTTCTAGGTCAAAATCAATGGTCGGGGTGGGTAGGCCTTGCTTCTCACACAGGCATTGTTGCAGCCCAGCCCAGGCCTCATGCTTAGTTAACTCTCTTCCCACTGTGCCCCCTTCTAGAGAACCGTGAGAGCCTGGTGGTGAACTATGAGGACTTGGCAGCCAGGGAGCACGTGCTGGCCTACTTCCTGCCTGAGGCACCGGCGGAGCTGCTGCAGATCTTTGATGAGGCTGCCCTGGAGGTGGTACTGGCCATGTACCCCAAGTACGACCGCATCACCAACCACATCCATGTCCGCATCTCCCACCTGCCTCTGGTGGAGGAGCTGCGCTCGCTGAGGTGAGCTGAGGGCAGGTGAGGATGGCAGGTCCGAGCTCAGTGCTGGGTGA
Organism: Homo sapiens; assembly: GCF_000001405.40. Lineage (NCBI taxonomy): Eukaryota > Metazoa > Chordata > Mammalia > Primates > Hominidae > Homo > Homo sapiens. The sequence goes on from NC_000003.12 coordinate 127,606,388, forward strand.
CTCGGTCGTGATTCCTGAAGAGCGATTGTGGTGTGGGCGGGGAGGGTGCAGCCAGCAGCATCCTCATCGCAGGTGAGTTGTGGTTGCACAGGAGTGTGATGGGAGGGATCTTCCCGGGCTGGGGGCTGGGCCCAATTTCCAGGACAGTGTGTTGGGACACTCTCGTCTGCAGCCTGGCCTCACCCTGGCTCACGGCTTCTGATGCACCCTCTGCCTCCGCAGGCAGCTGCATCTGAACCAGCTGATCCGCACCAGTGGGGTGGTGACCAGCTGCACTGGCGTCCTGCCCCAGCTCAGCATGGTCAAGTACAACTGCAACAAGTGCAATTTCGTCCTGGGTCCTTTCTGCCAGTCCCAGAACCAGGAGGTGAAACCAGGCTCCTGTCCTGAGTGCCAGTCGGCCGGCCCCTTTGAGGTCAACATGGAGGAGGTGAGAGAGGACACAAGGTCTGCTGCCAGCTGTCCTTAGGGGTGCCCAGTATGCAGGACCTGACTGGCCTCTCAGGCTGTGGAAGACCAGTGTGGGCAGCCGCAAGAAGCAAGATAGAATTGTGTGTTGGCCACACCCTGGGGTGGACCCAGTCTGTCTGGCCAGTGGACTTAGCTTGGCCCACACGACGTTTTTAGGAATTCAAGTCAATATTTAAGTCAGGCGATTTGTTTAAACCATACAAGTTTATGGCTCCTCTTGAAACATGAGAAGATCTGGCAAACAGGGCCCACTTCTTGCCAGGTCACTCCTTCAGGATGTGTGCTTACCAGTCTCCATGGTGCCATCACTCACGTGGGGTGGCTGCAGTCCCATCGGGACTTCCCCTCAGCTTGTTTCTGGGACCTGTCTGGCTCACGTGGGGCCCCTGGACCATACCAACCTCCTGCACCATATTCAGGAGACGCTGCCAAAGCCTCTGATGTTAAGGTCTTAGGCACATGTAATGTGCCTTTGTACTTGAGCGTCCCTGTAAATGGGCTCATCGCCATCGCTGTGGTGGCGCCCAGGCCCCTTGACTGCCTTGCTGCTGTGGCTGTTGGCTGTCCTCTTCTCACCGCTCTGCAGTGCAGTTCTGCGAACTGTCCCAGCTGGAGCCACCTTGCCAGAAAATGCCTCAGAGGTTCCACCTGTGGCCACCTACAGCCAAAAGCTGACCCGTCTCGTCTCGGGTGGGGCAGCTGCAGGCCAGATGCCAGCTGAGCCACGTCTTTGCTCACTCTTCCCATGCCCTGTCTGTCTCCCTCAGGCCTTGCTTCTAGGGACCTGAGATAGTACCTGGTAGAGGGTTAACAGTTACAGCTATCATTCATGGAGTAACTTACCAGTGCCAGGTGGTGGGTGGTTTATTACCTGGTCCTTTTTCACAGCTCATGAGGCAGGAACTGTTACTGGCCCCACTTTGCCGAGTGTTTAGAGAACTGGCTGAGGTCACCCAACCAGAATGTGTGTTAGAGGTCCACAGCTCAGGCATCTTGATCTAGAGCATGTGCTTTTAACTGCAGTGCCATGTTGTGAGATAATGGGTACGAAATGACATGGCACAGTGCTGGCCTGTGATACTTGACAGTGACAGCCAAAACTTCCTGTAACTTAACATTTATCAGATGCTGGATTAGGTTGATGTATGTATGACTTGCTTTAATTCTTATTGTGAGGTTGCAGAGAAGGCACAGAGAGAGGAAGTCACTTGCCCAAGATCACACAGCTTAGACACAGAACCCAGGCAGCCTGGTTCCAGCATCGGTACTCAAGACAGCTTAGCTGTAAAGCATAGAGCAGGTGCTGAGTCTGGCCGTCAGAAGGCATCCCAGAGGGATGGTGTGGCAGGAGTGGGGACTGTCAACTGATGTGCTGAGTCGCCATGAACTCATTCCTTGCTGTCTTTGGCTCTCCATTTGCCACTCAGGAGTCGGAATCCTGCCTGTTCTCCCTCCTGTTCGGGGGTCAAGGTTAGGTGACATAGTAAGTCAGTGATTTGAGGCCTTCTGTGTGTCCCTCGCAGACCATCTATCAGAACTACCAGCGTATCCGAATCCAGGAGAGTCCAGGCAAAGTGGCGGCTGGCCGGCTGCCCCGCTCCAAGGACGCCATTCTCCTCGCAGATCTGGTGGACAGCTGCAAGCCAGGAGACGAGATAGTAAGTGGCCGGGGCAGGCTGGGAGGGAGCCAAGTTGCAGAGGGAACTGGCAGAAGCAGTTGTGGCTGGGCCGGTGGCGGTGTCTATGGTCGCAGGGGCACTCGGGCTAGGATCTGTTTTTGCATGGCTGAGGCAAAGAACTTTCTTCTGGTGGATGGGTTGTTGGAATGGTGGGTTTAGGAGGGGTTTTACTGAGTTACTTATCTTGGTGTCTGTAGTGTGGAGCACTTGCAATAGGAGAAACTGGAGGAAGGCAGCACGGAGGTGGGCACCCCTGGGTTAGGCTCTGACTTCTTGGCCCCTCCCTTTCCCCAGGAGCTGACTGGCATCTATCACAACAACTATGATGGCTCCCTCAACACTGCCAATGGCTTCCCTGTCTTTGCCACTGTCATCCTAGCCAACCACGTGGCCAAGAAGGACAACAAGGTTGCTGTAGGGGAACTGACCGATGAAGATGTGAAGATGATCACTAGCCTCTCCAAGGATCAGCAGATCGGAGAGAAGGTAGGTGGAAGGCAGGGGCAGGGGCTGTCAGGATGCTGTGAGAGGATATGGAGGGTTGCTGGGGCTGTGGTAGGCACCTAGGGCTCACTGCTCAAACCTTGCCTTATTCCCCTGGAGCTCAGTAAGCTTGTCTGGAAGGGAGGCCCTGTGCTCCAGGGAAGAGGTAAACTCGCATTGGGGATGGGTGAACCTGGCTGTGGCTCCACCATGGGCCAGCGAGGTAGTGGGATAACTTGGATGACCTCTCTGAGTCTGTGTGGTGGGAGGAGTCCCCTGCTGAGGACGGGGTTGCGACGAGAAGAGCTCTTCCTTTAGCAGATCATTTCAAGCTGTGGTTTGAAATTGGAACAGAGGCAGGGCAATAGGATAACTTGTGTCATGAGGGATTCCTAGGGATCCAGCTGTGGCCAACGGGAATTTCTTCAGAAAAACAACCCAGAATGGTGGTGTTTTTTGTTTTTTTTTGTGATGGAGATGGGGTCTCACTACGTTGTCCAGGCTGGTCTCAAACTCCTGGCTCAAGATCCTCTCACATTGGCTTCCCAAAGTGCTGGGCTTACAGGTGTGAGCCCTTGTGCCCAGGCAGTTGGGCAGTTGGTTTTTAGTATAGACATCCTTACTGAAGGATGAGGAGATGGGGATTTATGTTGCAGAAATACGGATTACTTAAACAGAACGTTAAATTTCTGTTGATAAAAACCCTTTGCTGTTTCTCCCACATTACCTCCATCCTGCCCCCAGAGCACCGTGTGTTCTCAAGCTCGCTGCTCTCCCCTTTCTCTTCCTTCCTTCCTCTGTTTCTCAGTCAACTTCCTTTTTTTTTTTTTTTTTTTTTTTTTTTGAGATGGAGTCTCTCTGTCACCCAGGCTGGAGTGCAGTGGCATGATCTCAGCTCACTACAGCCTCTGCCTCCTGGGTTCAAGCGATTCTTGTGCCTCAGCCTCCCGAGTAGCTGGGATTACAGGCACACATCACCGCACCTGACTAATTTTTGTATTTTTAGTAGAGACAGATTTCACCATGTTGGCCAGGCTGGTCTCGAACTCCTGACCTCAGGTGATCCGCTTGCCTCAGCCTCCCAAAGTGCTGGGATTATAGGTGTGAGGCACCACGCCCGGCCTTCAAGTCAACTTGAACTTCAGTTTTTAATGCAGAGCAGTTTAGTTCGCCCTTTAACCTCCACTCTTCTGCCCTCTGGCAAGATAAAATTCAGTTCCCATTTGGCTTCTTCAGTGAACTGGGTGATTTCCTTCTGACGTATGTAAACCCCCCAGGGACAGGAGCCATCACTGGCTTAATCACCTCTGTCTCCAGGGCCTGGCTGCAGGAGGCCCTGAGTAATTTTGAAGGAATGGATGGTGGGGTAAGGAGAGCTGTGTCCAGGCTGCAGGTTAGCTGATTTGTTTTGGTTGTTTCTCTCCATCCACCTTCCCCTGAAGCCTGTGGAGCCCCCTTTCTTGGTTCCTCTGAGGCACGGCTATGGTTGCCCCTTCCTTTTCCTCCTCACGCATCACATTTACCCATGTCTGCCTGCCACTTAATATTCCTACACATGCATGGTTTGTTCTGTTCCTTTCTTTACTCCTTGAGGCGTGTATTCCAAGTAGGCAGGGTAGTTTTGTGTCTCGGTTCCTTTTCTCAAGTGTATTGCGTGTCTTTGCATCCACCGTGAGAAGCTGCTGCAGGCTAGACGCAAACCCAGTAGGGGCAAAGCATCCAGCATTTGTGGGCTTATATGTTACTGTCATTGTTCAGGAAAGCTCCAGAAATGCATCCCTGGCAGAGGCTGGTATTGGTGCCATTCCTTCCCAGCTCTTGGCCATCGAACCTAGTCTGCGAAGATCTGGGGTTCCCATAGGAGAGGTGGGTGTTTCTCAGCGTCAGGAAGCCAGGAGCTTCAGTTCAGCCAACACACATTGGTTCCTGGAAGACCTCCTAGGGCCAAGTTGTAGGGATACAATGGTGAGTAAGTCAGACATGACCCTTGCCCTCAGAGCTCATATTTTACTAGGGTTCCCAATAATAGGAAATAGACAAGATCTTTTCATGTAGTTTTACATGCGAGGAAGACAGTCACACAGGCAAAGAAAGCCAGGACCTCCCAGCCTTCTACCCTCACCACCTGCAGAGGCTCATGAGTGCTACCACAGTGGACACCTTTGCAGAATTTCATCCAGATGTTTGAGCTAATTTCTTCAGGCTTGGGTGGACTTGGCCCTGCTGGGGTCTTACAGTCCCTAAGCAGCCGGGCCACCTGTGTCCCACATGATTATCTGTGTCTGTGCCTACCACGCCAAAGGAGCTGCATGCTTGAGGAACTCTCTTCTGGCACCTTCTCTTCCTTTGCCTTGAGCTTCAGCCACTAATCTCCCACTCTGTTGATTGAAGAGGTGAGAGACCCATAGGTGAGCGTGTGGCGGGCATGGCATGCCTGGGCACTAATAAGGCATCTGCCCGGGCCATCCCCATGTGCTTCTGGAGCCCCAGGTTCCAAAACGACTTGTTCCCCAAATGGAGGCAGCCCTACCCCGCTCCCGTGTCTTGATGCCTGCTATTTGTGTCTACATAGAGCACCTTCTCCCTCACTTGTCCCCAGCTGACTTCTGTCTTCTGCAGATTCCATCTCCAGCAGGAAGCCCTGCAGGCTTCTGCAGCTGACTTTTTTTTTTTTTTTTTTTTTTTTTTTTTTTTTTGAGACGGAGTCTCGCTCTGTCGCCCAGGCTGGAGTGCAGTGGCGGGATCTCGGCTCACTGCAAGCTCCGCCTCCCGGGTTCACGCCATTCTCCTGCCTCAGCCTCCCAAGTAGCTGGGACGACAGGCGCCCGCCACTACGCCCGGCTAATTTTTTTGTATTTTTAGTAGAGACGGGGTTTCACCGTTTTAGCCGGGATGGTCTCGATCTCCTGACCTCGTGATCCGCCCGCCTCGGCCTCCCAAAGTGCTGGGATTACAGGCGTGAGCCACCGCGCCCGGCCAACAGCTGACTTTTTGTATTTGTTTTTATTTTGAGTTAGTTATCATCCTTGAGGGATCCGGAGACTTCACATAGAAATCCGGATGCTTTTTGAAAATCCAAGATCTGTGGGTGCTGGCTCTGTGTTCCTCTCTGGTAACGCTGACGGAGCTGAGGCATAGCTGCCCTTGCAGGTAGGGCCTGTGTCCCCAGGTTTACCCCGTCCCCTACTCTGTCAGTTTCATGGCCCTGCCTGCCTTCCGTGGGCCCTGGACACTGATCTGGTAAAGTATTAAAGAGATCAGGGTCATGCCCAACACTTAGAGATTTTAAAGAACTAACAGAAGCAGCATGCAGTCTGAAGCCAGACTTTTTAGGTTTGAATTTTGGCCTAATCCTTAGGATGGTCAGATGAGTCACCCTTATCTATAGAAATGAGAGGATGAGAGTAAACACTCATAGAGTTGTTATAAAGATCAAATAAATTAGTGCATATAAAGTACTTGGCTGTTGGCGAGTGCTCAGTATCTGGCTGTTACTGTACATGGCTACCAAAGTTAAACTATTTGTACAAAAACTGGATGGAAGAGCCTGTGACAGGCGTGTAGAAAGCATAAGCAGCCAGTAGGTAGGACAAAAATAGCTTTGAGCCTGATGCTTTAGGCATTTTACACACATTATCTCAGGCTCATGGTACCCATGCAGGTGGGTGCTTTTTCTCCGTTTGCTGGGTGGAGCTCACAGTACCCACTCAGGTGGGCACTCTATCCCTGTTTGCTGGGTGCGGAGACTGAGGAGTGCTAGGAAGCAGCACACCTAGAGCCAGGAGGAGCATGAGCTTTGGATTCAGATGCATCTGGGGTCGAGTCTTGCCTCTCCTCTAGGAGAAAATATTTTGACCTGAGCCTTGGTTTCCTCTGTAGGATCGAGAGAAACAAGGTTATTATGAGGATTACATGAGGTAATTCATGGAAAGCGCTGTTATTCCCTGGCAGGTCTGGGATTTGATTCTGCCCCACTTTCCAGCCATTAAATTAGCCTGCTACTCTCTCCTGGAGTAACTGGGTCAGCGGTGGAAGGCACAGCAGGCAGTGTAGGCATTCACACATTTGCGCTGCTTGCCCTCCAGTCCCACAGGGAAGTCCCCCTGGATGCAGTGGTTGCTTTACAGGAGGGGGATTGAGTTGGGCAATCTGCCCTGCATAGCAAGCAGGAAGCTCTTGGCCCTGGAGGGAGACATTACCTCATCCTGCAAGGTTGCTCGCTACAAAAATTATACGGGGAAATGAGCTGGGTTAAGAGGAGTCAAGGATTGGCAGTCTTGGCACATCCAGCACGAGGTGTGTTGGGGCATGAGAGGTCCGTGGAGTGGTCTGCCCAGCATCTGCAGCACAAAGTAAGAGTTTCATAAGAGAGTCATTATACTTACTGAGGACTTAGTATCTGCTTGGCATTGTCTAGGTAATTTCTAGATAGCAATGTTCCTGTGAGGTTTCATCTCTGCCTGTTTTACTGATGAATAAACTAAGGCACAAAAGGTTAGATAAGTTGGCCATAGTCACATAGCAAGTGGCAGAGTCAGCAGCCTGGCTTGAGTCCATGCTCCCAGTGACTGTATTGTGCCAACAGTTGGTGAGTTTATTTGGTTATTGTGAGTTCCATGGGCACTCTGTGTTACATAAGGCCTGGCCCACATTTTAAAACATTGTTACAGAAAATTTCAAACAGGTATGTAGAATGGTGTAGTGAACTTTGACCATTTGTCTTAGTCCATTTTCTGCTGCTACAACAGAATACCATAGACTGGGTAATTTATAATGAACAGAAATTTATTGACTTATGGTTTTGGAGGCTGGAAGTCCAAAATTGAGGGCTGGCATCTGGTGAGGGCCTTCTTGCCATGTCATCCCATGGCAAAAAGGTGAGAGTTAAAGAGACAGAGTGAGAGCCCAGAGGGGGCCAGACTCATCCTTTTACAAGGACCTACTCCCTGGATAGCAGTGCTTTTATCCTCCATTCATGAGAGCAGATCCCTCATGGCCTGATCACCCCTTAAAGGTCCCACCTTTTAATACTGTTAAATGGGGGATTAAGATGCCAACACATGCTTTCTGGGGGGTACATTCAAACTGTAGCACTCTACCCAGCTTCCACAGCTGTCATAGTCACAGCCAATCGAGTGTTCTTAATACACCACCCATTCACCCTTGGTATATTTCAAGGCAAATTCCAGGCATGCCGTTTTTTTCTGTAACTACATCAGTATGTATATGAAAAAGAAAAGACTCTCTTTGAATAAACCTAGCCACAATACCATTATCTCACTTTAAGAGGTGATTAACAATTCCTTAATATCCAATATTCTGTTGTTGTTCACATTTCCCTGATTATCTTACCCCTTCCCCCTGTTTTTTACAGCTTCTTGGAGTCATTATCCAAATAAGATCCATAAGTTGTGATTGGTTGATATCTCTTAAGTCTCATAATCTTTAGATCTTTTCTCCATCTCTTTTTTCCTTGTAATTTTTTGTGGAAGAAACTGGGTCATTTGTTCTGTTGAGCCTTGCAGTCGAGATATTGCTAATTATGTCCCCATTAGACACACACCTCTGTCACCTGTGTTTTCTGTAATTTGGCAGTCAGGCACTGAAGCCTAGTCAGGTAAATGCCTGCTTATTTTCTTTGACTTACTAGTTTTAAAAATAATGAATTGGTTCCCAGGTGACCTGGGTATCATAACAGACAAATAGGCCCGCCGGGTGTTGAGGTTTCCACGCTGCAGGTGTCATCCCTACAATGCTCAAGTGTCCCTTTTTTGCCAGCGTGAACCTATTCATGTTGGCTCCTGAGTTCTGTTGACATGACCCTGGTTGTCTTTGAGTGATTTTTTGCTTTCTGGTAGAAGATATTGCAGGCTTCTCTTGTACATTTCCAGCCCCGGACCTGGAATTGGACATTTCTCCAAGAAGCCCCGTGGGAAGTGTTACTTGCTTTCAGAGGGAGATAGGAGTTAGAGACACCTCTAAAGCTGCATGAATTTGATGGTGCAGGCAGGACATACAGGATGCAGCCTGATGGGGGTGTCTCCCCTCCACCTTCAGGGCTGGTTTTCCTGCCTTAGTCCCCTCTCCCCAGGCGAGGGCCAGTGCTTTCTGAGCTTCTTTGTCTGTCCTACAAGGAGGGAAGGATGTGGGTGTGGCCAGTGCAGGGGGGTATGAAGGCTGAAAGCTATCAAAACATGGCTCTGCTGCAGGTGGAGTTGGAAGCAGTCTCCTACAAGCAAGAAATGTCTTTGATGTCTCTAATTCTATCTAAAATTCATGAAGATTTTGCTCTCTCCCTGTCTCTTTCTTTCTCTCACACACACACTGAAATAGAAATGTTCCAGTGACTCACTAGTTGGAATTACTTCCTGGTGGACACATCTCCCAGATGTGCCACATTTATTGCATTGACGAGGCAGGCACTTGCATGAACTGTCGCATTTGTACCCACCCTTCTGTGAGTTGGATGTTGCCATCTCTCTTTTCCATATGAAGAAACTGAGGCTTGAGGTAGGCCAGTGCCATGACAGACCTGGTTCTGGTCTTATTTCTGCTCTTGGTCTGTGATCTTGGGAAAGGCCTTTCTGAAATATGTCAAGATTAGGGGTTCAGATGAAGGTTCTTCTAAACTCCAAAGTTCTGTGACTCTTGGGAAGAGCCAACTAATGAAAAGCTTTAGAGTCGGGCACGGCTTGATACCAGGGCCTGATGCAGTTGCAGCAGCTGTGGAAGTGGGTGTCTTTGAGCTGGGGATGTCGTGGTTCCCTGATGCCAGAGCATGTGGGTGACCTACTCTGTGAGTATCTGTTCCCATTCTTGTCGGTCTCCCTCCCTTTCTCAGATCTTTGCCAGCATTGCTCCTTCCATCTATGGTCATGAAGACATCAAGAGAGGCCTGGCTCTGGCCCTGTTCGGAGGGGAGCCCAAAAACCCAGGTGAGCACCCACCTTTCCTCTGCAGGGGTGTTAGCAGCTTTCTCTTTGGGGAGCCAGCATTCAAAGAAGGACACAGTGTTTTTAAAGCCTGGGTGCTGGGGAGAAAGAATGCATTAAAAGATGGTCTGGCTGGGCGTGACTCATTCTTCAAGGGAGAGGGTGGCCCTGAGTTGGGCATTCTGGGTGTTGGGCTGTTGGTCAGGGAGCCAGTGTCTGCCTGCTTTTGTGATTTAAGCAAATGAGTCTTTGCTTCTCTTCTATGTAAAAAATACTTTGTCTTTTAAAAACCTGTTTTAAGTACAAAAATACTATTGACACATGAGTTTGTATTTATATTACACTTTTATAGAACACTAAAAGTCATGGGTGAGGCTGATTTCCCCATTGACCCCCACTTCTCTTCCTAGTCCCTCCCTTTGTGGCCATTTACAATTACACAGCAACCACAGGGTTTCATGACTACACGTGTTTATTTGTACAAGCGCAGCGTCCCCTGTGTGTGCCCAGTGCTGTGCCTGTGCGCAGTGCATCCCACCGAGCTCTCCCGCTCAGTGCCACACTGCAGCATCTTTTCTTGTTAGTGCATACAGAGCAATTGCCTTCTTTTAAATGACTATCATGCCACCAGATAACGCAGTTTATTTAGCTCTCCCTTTGGAGAACACTTAGATTGTTTCTGATATTTCACATTCGCCAAGGACATCTCGTGCAACCCTCCTCTGCACCCGTGTGTGTTTCCCTGGGAGTGCCCAGAGTGGGACTGCATGGCGTAGGGCATTGTATCCCTTTCTAGAGGGACTGTGCCTTACCATTCCTAACAAGTAGGTTGAGGAATTGGTGGGGGATGCAACTGTGCCCTCCTCCTCTCACTTCCCACTCTCCCCCTCCCCCGCTTCTACTCATCCCCTCCAGGTGGCAAGCACAAGGTACGTGGTGATATCAACGTGCTCTTGTGCGGAGACCCTGGCACAGCGAAGTCGCAGTTTCTCAAGTATATTGAGAAAGTGTCCAGCCGAGCCATCTTCACCACTGGCCAGGGGGCGTCGGCTGTGGGCCTCACGGCGTATGTCCAGCGGCACCCTGTCAGCAGGGAGTGGACCTTGGAGGCTGGGGCCCTGGTTCTGGCTGACCGAGGAGTGTGTCTCATTGATGAATTTGACAAGGTGGGTCCCTGGGTCACGGAGGCTGGTGGAACTCAGGGGGTGTGTGTGGGCTTGGGCCTTAGCGACGGGAATGGTGTTAATGGGGTCCATTGGGACCTCATCGGAGACTTAGTAGTAGGGGCGTGAACCATGCTAAGGGTGGGCCATTTTAATCTTGCAGATGAATGACCAGGACAGAACCAGCATCCATGAGGCCATGGAGCAACAGAGCATCTCCATCTCGAAGGCTGGCATCGTCACCTCCCTGCAGGCTCGCTGCACGGTCATTGCTGCCGCCAACCCCATAGGTGCAGCAGGCACCCTGACTGCTGGGGCTGGGGTGGGACACAGGGAGGTCCCGCCTGCTTGAATTGGGAGCCCACGGGGTCCCCAGGAGCCGATCTGAGGAAGTCATTGTGCAGCAGAGGGTTCCCCTCTTCTGCATATCCTGCCAGAGTGGGGAACAGTGAAAGTGGGACCTGGGACACCTGGGTTTCCTGTTGAGTCATGTTCCTGGAATCACCTTGGATGTTCTCAGAAGGCATGGGAGGAGAGCCCAGTGCCCCTCTGGCCAGGATGGAGTTGGCTGTTGGTCTCAGCAGCGAATGCGTAAAAGAACCCAGGCTCTGTCACCCACTGTGTTCTTGGTTTTTCCTCCTGGGGAAGCAGTTATGCTTTCTGTCTAAATTAGGCTATTTTGGGCCCTGGTTAGGGTAAGCTCTTTGCTGTCTCAGACAGCAGGTGCTAAGTACCCACCTATGTCTTCCTCTTCCACTGCCCTCATCCCCTTCTGCCATCAGAGCAGCCTGGGGTCCCTGAGATGGGAGGATAGGGGAATCCACCCTGATGGAGGTGCTCCCCTGTGTTTCAGGAGGGCGCTACGACCCCTCGCTGACTTTCTCTGAGAACGTGGACCTCACAGAGCCCATCATCTCACGCTTTGACATCCTGTGTGTGGTGAGGGACACCGTGGACCCAGTCCAGGTATAGCTCACATGTGCCCGGTTTCCATGAACTGTGGTTTGGGGACCTCAGGTGAGGCTTGGGGTCATACAGTGTGCCCAACACAGGGGACAGGTGCTGCAGGGGCCATAGGCTGTTTTCTAGTCCTGTTCCCTCGGTCTCTTCTCATGTCCAGAAGTCGCCCTGATTTCTCTTTCCTTCACAGCACCCCCGACCCCCACCCTACATAACCCACAATCCACCAAATCCTGTTGTCCCAACTCCTGAGCCTACCCACCTCCCTCACTTCTGCCTCTGACTTGAGGCACTACCATCATCTGAACTGGCCTCCTGGCACCCATGTAGACTGTCTTCCAGTTGAAGGCATAAATCAGATCAGCCCCGTCCTTAACAACTGCTTGAGGCTTTCTGCTGTCATCAGAATAGAATCCAGGGTCCTCCCCTCCGGCCCGCACCCGCCATCTCTGCAGCTACCTCCTCCTCGCTCCCTTCCCTCACCTGCACCTGCACCTGCCCTTCTCTCTCAAAAGGGCCGAGCCTTGGGGCTTGATTGTGCTCCTTGCTCCTGGCAGACGCTCTCCCACACTGTCACATGACTTGCATCTCATTGTCGTCATCTCAGCTCCCTGTCTTTCAGGGAGGGGCTTTGCCGGGCACCCTTAGCTAGAGGCATCTCCTTGGTCCCTTGATCCTATCACTCTATTTTTCTTCTGAGCATTACTTTCCATAATTAATTTTTAAGACTATTTGTCTCCTGTCCCCTTGTGGAGATGAGCCCTGTGGGGACTCTGTCCCATTGTCTGGTTTGCCACCCACACCCAGAACTGCCTGGCACATGGTCAGTGTAGTCAGTCTTGTTGAAAGAGTGTCACCCTTGTAGGGCACACTCAGCCCTTCTCCAGCCACTGACCTCCCCAAAGCCACGCACACCCACAATCAGACCCACCCTCTCATGGCTTATCTTAGGACGAGATGCTGGCCCGCTTCGTGGTGGGCAGCCACGTCAGACACCACCCCAGCAACAAGGAGGAGGAGGGGCTGGCCAATGGCAGCGCTGCTGAGCCCGCCATGCCCAACACGTATGGCGTGGAGCCCCTGCCCCAGGAGGTCCTGAAGAAGTACATCATCTACGCCAAGGAGAGGGTCCACCCGAAGCTCAACCAGATGGACCAGGACAAGGTGGCCAAGATGTACAGTGACCTGAGGAAAGAATCTATGGTGAGAGCCCAGGCAGAGCCGGGAGGTGCTATGCAGAGAAGGAAGTGCAGTGTGAGCCTTCTGACCAATGCAGCGGGGGTGGTGGTCAGTCAGGCCAAAAGGTGCCAGAGCAGGGAGGCATTAAAAAAAAAATGTAGGTGCCAGGCACAGTGGCTCACGCCTGTAATCCCAGTACTTTGGGAGGCCGAGGCAGGAGGATCACGATGTCAGGAGTTTGAGACCAGCCTGACCAACATGGTGAAACCCAAAAATTAGCCGGGTGTGGTGGCACATGCCTGTAATCCCAGCTTCTCAGGAGGCTGAGGCAGGAGAATCGCTTGAACCCGGGAGGCGGAGGGTGCAGTGAGCTGAGATCGCACCACTGCACTCCAGCCTGGGTGACAGAGTGAGACTCCATCTCAAAAACAAAAACAAAAAATGAAAGTTGGGTACAGTGATTCATGCCTGTAATCCCAGCACTTTGGGAGGCCAAGGCAGGAAGATTGCTTGAGGTGAGTTCAAGACCAGGCTGGGCAACATAGTGAGGCCCTTTCTCTACAAAAAATGTTTTGAAACTTAGCTGGGCCTGGTGGTTTGTGCCTGTAGTCCCAGCTACTCAGGAAGCTAAGGAAGGAAGATCTACTTGAGCCCAGGAGTTCGAGGCTACAGTGAGCTATGATGGCACCACTGCACTCTAGCCTTGGTGACACAGTGAAACCCTGTTTCAAAAAAAAAATATTTTTTTAAATGATAGGTATTAATATATACCTTAACCATTTTGTTTTAGATGAAATTTAAATGTGCATTCATTTGTCTCAGTGTAGGGCCAAGGCCTTAATTGTTGATGTGCTTATTAAGTTCCATATTGACTTTGTGTAAATTTCACTCTAATGAACACAAGGTCTTTGGCTCATTCATAGTGGAATGGAAACTTAAAGCAGCTTGCAAGCCATGGGAATGCCGAGTCCTTGTAGATTGCTGCCTCAGCCACACCCAGTCAACACAGCAGCTTTTCAAATTTCTGCCTTTTAACTTTACCAAGTTTTTTCAGATCATTCAATTTAGTTTTCCTACAAACAACGACCTTTTTTTGCACTTACATTGTACAGGATTATTCAATATTTAGTGTGTGACAATAACCAATACAGCTGGCCACAAATACAACAGCCTCTGAGATGCACAGAAGTCAGCTGGTGGGAGCAGAACTGTGCAGGTGTGATGGTGACAGGCCGTAAGCATGCAGCATCCACTGGCATCCTCTGATTTCCAGGAGGGATAGGAAGTGTGCATTCACTGGGCAGCGCAGTCAAGCATTCTGCATTTCTGCTGGGGCACTGTCAGATGGGTCTTCTTGGCTCTGGGTGCTAAGAGTGCCGCTGCTTTATTTTCCTTGCTTCTCTTTCCTGCCCGTGAAAGACCTGACACTGTGCTTCTCTCCAGGCGACAGGCAGCATCCCCATTACGGTGCGGCACATCGAGTCCATGATCCGCATGGCGGAGGCCCACGCGCGCATCCATCTGCGGGACTATGTGATCGAAGACGACGTCAACATGGCCATCCGCGTGATGCTGGAGAGCTTCATAGACACACAGAAGTTCAGCGTCATGCGCAGCATGCGCAAGGTGGGTGTGCTCCGAGGTAGGGGCCTGATGGGCAAGCTCAGTGAAGGAGGCCACACGTGGGTATCCAGGGCTCTGGCCTGGACGTGCACCCAGGAGCGGCAGCCTGTCTGACCTGGGTGCTGGCACGTAGGGTAAAGGGAGTGTGGCAGGCGTAGTGGGAGCGGGTGTTTGACTGAGGCTTTTTTCCTGCAGACTTTTGCCCGCTACCTTTCATTCCGGCGTGACAACAATGAGCTGTTGCTCTTCATACTGAAGCAGTTAGTGGCAGAGCAGGTGACATATCAGCGCAACCGCTTTGGGGCCCAGCAGGACACTATTGAGGTCCCTGAGAAGGACTTGGTGGATAAGGTATGGGCCCGGAAGGGAGGTGAGGGTTGGGGTATGCTGACTTGGGAGCTGCCAGTCTCCTGATGGGGGCTCCATCATAATGGGTCATGAAGTGGGTGGGCCTTGGTTGACAGCCATTTATTGAATGCTTACAGTCTGTTGAGTCCAGTTCTGTGCCTGTAGTCTGACAGCAGGGGAGTGAGGTGAGTCCTGTTACTGCCTTCCTGTTGTGCAGAGGTGGAGACAGATACAGGGCAGCCAAGTAACTTGTCTCAGTTTACACGCACAGCTTGTACAGCAGAGATTTGAAGCCCCTTAATCGGCCTCTCCACCCCTGGATATTTTCCTCCCATAAATGGAGGTGATGGTGTCTGAAAGTGCACTGTAACTGGGGCGCTCTGGAAACAGCCTGTTCTCACACCACTGATGGCTCACTGGACACTTCCTCCTTGCAGGCTCGTCAGATCAACATCCACAACCTCTCTGCATTTTATGACAGTGAGCTCTTCAGGATGAACAAGTTCAGCCACGACCTGAAAAGGAAAATGATCCTGCAGCAGTTCTGAGGCCCTATGCCATCCATAAGGATTCCTTGGGATTCTGGTTTGGGGTGGTCAGTGCCCTCTGTGCTTTATGGACACAAAACCAGAGCACTTGATGAACTCGGGGTACTAGGGTCAGGGCTTATAGCAGGATGTCTGGCTGCACCTGGCATGACTGTTTGTTTCTCCAAGCCTGCTTTGTGCTTCTCACCTTTGGGTGGGATGCCTTGCCAGTGTGTCTTACTTGGTTGCTGAACATCTTGCCACCTCCGAGTGCTTTGTCTCCACTCAGTACCTTGGATCAGAGCTGCTGAGTTCAGGATGCCTGCGTGTGGTTTAGGTGTTAGCCTTCTTACATGGATGTCAGGAGAGCTGCTGCCCTCTTGGCGTGAGTTGCGTATTCAGGCTGCTTTTGCTGCCTTTGGCCAGAGAGCTGGTTGAAGATGTTTGTAATCGTTTTCAGTCTCCTGCAGGTTTCTGTGCCCCTGTGGTGGAAGAGGGCACGACAGTGCCAGCGCAGCGTTCTGGGCTCCTCAGTCGCAGGGGTGGGATGTGAGTCATGCGGATTATCCACTCGCCACAGTTATCAGCTGCCATTGCTCCCTGTCTGTTTCCCCACTCTCTTATTTGTGCATTCGGTTTGGTTTCTGTAGTTTTAATTTTTAATAAAGTTGAATAAAATATAAACGCTGGTATCTGTTGGCTTCCATTCCGCTTTAGTAAGTAACCTGGACTTCCGCTGAAGGCCCTTTCCACCTTCTCCGTTCAGAGTTCTGTAGGAGGTAGGTCGGGTTAAAAAAGCTGTTTTGTTTGTGGATGTAGAGAAAGCAAAAATGATATAGATATCCCCATTGAACTTGGTTTGCAGTCACTGCCTCTGTGATATCTAAGTGGAATCCATGGAAATCCTAGTTAGACGTGTATAGGACTAGAGGTGGTGTAGCCTACCCCACAGTGGGGCAGTACCATCCACCACCTCACCCAGAGATGAGGTGCCGGAGGGACCTCATCAGCCTCAGCTGATGGGCTGCCGGAGGGATTGCAGTTCCCAGATGGGGTTCTGACATCTGTCTTGTCCAAGTTTTCCCTTCTTGAACTTTTTTTTTTTTGAAGTAAGTTTTCAGTCGCCCAGGCTAGAGTGCAGTGGTGCAATCAGCTCACTGCAGCATCGACCTCCCGGGCTCAAGCAATCGTCCTGAGTAGCCTGGACTACAGGCACACACCACTACGCCTGGCTAATTTAAGTTTTTGGTAGAGATGAGGTCTCACTCACTATGTTGCCCAGGCTGGTCTTGAACTGGGCTCAAGCGATCCTCCCATCTTGGTCTCCCAAAGTGCTGGGATTACAAGCCTGTGCCACCATGCTCAGCCTGGAGTTACTTTTTAAAGGAAAAGGTGCCAGCCACAGGAAAATGGGCTGAAGCATAGGGCAGGGCAAGGATTGAGGCCAGAGTCAGGCAGGTCACACAGGACTTGTGCTCTAAGGAGGCTCTAGTCTGCCACAGCAGGCAGCCAGCAAGAGGGTGTTCAGGACAGCAGTGGTCCAGTGGTCTTGGAGAGCTGGCTGGCCACCAAATCATACTGAGAGGAGAAAGGACGGAAGAGTGGAGACTTGGGTGATGGAGATGGGGGAAAGTGGACATAGGTGTATTTTGCAGGTAGATTAGACAAGATGTAGTGATGAGTAAGATGTAGGGGTAGGGCAAAAAGGAAAAACCCTGGATGACCAGGTCTGTGGCTGGGGAAATAGGTTGAAGTTTAGTAGGGAAAGCCAGGAGTTTCATTTCAGACATGTTGGCTAGACAGGCCTTTTAGACATCCAAGTAGAAATGTGAAGTCTGCAGGCAGGTTGAGTCGACCACTGAGCAGAGGTGTGGGCATGAGGAGCGGTCATCATAGCTGCCACTGTGGGGCTAAGTGCCATCACCCCCAGAGTGCACAGAGAAATGATCCAGGCTGGGTGCGGTGGCTCACGTCTGTAATTCCAGCACTTTGGGAGGCTGAGGTGGGCGGATCACATAGTCAGGAGTTCAAGACCAGTCTGGTCAACATGGTGAAACCCAGTCTCTACTAAAAAAATACAAAAATTAGCTGGGCATGGTGGTGTGCGCCTGTAATCCCACCTACTTGGGAGGCTGAGGCAGGAGAATTGCTTGAACCTGGGAGGCAGAGGGTGCAGTGAGCCGAGATCGTGCCACTGCATTCCAGCCTGGGCGACGGAGCAAGACTCCATCTCAAAAAAAAAAAAAAAATGATCTGGAAGGCTACGTGACACCCATCATTTGAAACAGCAAAGGAGACAGGAGGAAAATGTGGCAGAAAAACCAGGGGAGAAGGGTGTCTGTGGAAGCCAGGAGAAGAAGAAATTTCCAGAAGATTGAGGTCAGTTGGCCAACGTAGCTGAAAGATCAGGTGAAATGACAAACCTGCCCACTACCATGTTTCATTGAATATAAGATGCCATTGAAGATAAGAATCACCATTTTATGTGCTTCTGAGGAAAAAATGTAAACATTTATAATGATGTCATCAACCTTCAGATGTCCTTTTTTTATTTATTTATTTATTTAGAGACGGAGTCTTGCTCTGTCGCCCAGGCTTGCTCTGTCACCCAGGAGTGCAGTGGCACGATCTCAGCTCACAGCAACCTCCGCCTCCAGGGTTCAAGCAATTCTCCTGCCTCAGCCTCCTGAGTAGCTTGGATTATAGGCCTGTGCCACCATGCCCAGCTAATTTTTTCTTTTTTTTGTATTTTTAGTAGAGATAGGGTTTCACCATGTTGGCCAGGCTGGTCTCAAACTCCTGACCTCAGGTGATCCACCCACCTCTGCCTCCCAGAGTGCTGGGATTAGAGGTGTGAGCCACCATGCCCGGCCAGACATCCCAGTTTAGATGTGCACCTTTGAAATACAAGCTTTGTGGTAATGTGGGAGTTGCTGTAGCCTCGTCCAGCAGTTTCAATCCCTTGGTGACAGTGGAAGCCAGGTTGGAGTGCGGATAGAATAAACAGGAGGTGAGGAGGTAGAAACTGCTCATGGAGAAAACGCGTGAGAAGTTTGGCTCCAAGGGGCGTGTGAAATGGGACAGCCAACAAGGTATACAGGACCACAGTGAGGCTTTTCCGTTGATGTTTACTCTAAGACTGGAAAATTAGATTTTTTTTATTCATGCGATAGAATTTATTAATGGATTAATTTGAAAGATAATTATGAGTGAAAAAACAAGATGTGATACATATATGTAAACATTTAAAACATACCGATATTACATAATGTGTGTGTACATACGTGTGTGTGTGTGTGTTTGTATATTAAGGATAATTTACGCCAGCAAGGTGGCTCATGCCTATAATCCTAGCACTTTGGGGGGCCAATGAGGGCGGATCACTGGAGCCTAGCCTGGGAAACATAGTGAGACCCCATCTCTACAAAAAAATAACAACAGTTAGCTGGGCATGGTGGCACAAACCTGTAATCCCAGCTACTCCAGGAGCTGAAGCAGGAGGATCACTTAAGCCTGGGAGAGCGAGGCTGCAGTGAGCTATGGTGGTGCCCTGGCACTCCAGCCTTGGTGACAGATCCAGACCCTGTCTCAAAGAAAAAAAAAACAAGATAAAATGTGAGCTTGGGTATTCTTGTGTTTTTTACAGGTTTATTGAGATATAGTTTACATACCACATAATTTAAAATGTACAACTTGGCCGGGTGTGGCAGCACACACCTGTAATCCCAGCTACTCAGGAGTCTGAGGCAGGAGAATCGCTTGAACCTGGGAGGCGGAGGTTGTAGTGGGCCAAGATCACACCACTGCACTCCAGCCTGGGCAACAGAGCGAGACTCTGTCTCAAAAATAAACTAATTAATTAATTAAAAAATGTACAATTCAATCGTTTTAGCATATTTGCAGTTGTGCAAATTATCACACTTTTAAAACATTTTCATCACTCCCTTCCCCCAAAAAACATACCCATTAGCAGTTACTCCTCTTCCTTCCCCACCAGCCCTAGGCAACCACTAATCTGCTTTCTATTGCTAAAGATTTACCTATTCTGGACATTTCATAAAAATTGAATCATATAATATGTAGTCTTTTGTGATGGGCTTCTTTCACTTAGAATAATGTTTTCAAGGTTCATCCACGTTGTAGCATGTGTCAGTACTTTCTTTGTATTGCTGACCAACATGCCATTGTATGGGTATGCTACATTTTATTTATGCATTCATCAGTTGATGAGAATTTGGGTTGTTTCCACCTTTTGATTATTATGACTAATGCTGCTATGAACATTCCTGTAATGTATTTGACTAGACATATGTTTTCTATGCTCTTAGGTATGTATTAGGAGTGGAATTATGAAGTCATATGGTAACTCTATGCTTAATCTTTTGAGAAACTGCCTATGTCCAAAGCAGCTGCACCATTTTACATTCCCATCAGCAGTGTACGAGGAGGGTTCTTTCTCCATATCCTATATAACACGTGGTCTCTCTTTTTAATTCTAGCCACCCACCTTAGTGAGACGCAAAGTGGTTTCCTTTTTTTTGAGACAGAGTCTCGCTTTGTCACCCAGGCTGGAGTGCAGTGGTGTGATCTCAGCTCACTGCAACCTCCACCCCCTGGGTTCAAGCAATTCTCATGCCTCAGCCTCCTGTGTAGCTGGGATTACAGTCATGCACCACCATGCCAGAGTAATTTTTGTATTTTTAGTAGAGACAGGGTTTTGCCATGTTAGCAAGGCTGGTATCCAACTCCTGACCTCAAGCTATCCACCCAGCCCGGCCTCCTAAAGTGCTGGGATTACAGGCGTGAACCACCGTACCCAGCCTGAGAAGTGGTTTCTTATTGTGGTTTTGATTTGCATTTATCTGATGGTTAATGAGGCTGAGCATGTTTTCATGTGCTTATTGACATTTGGAGGAATGTATATTCAGATCTTTGTCCATTTTAAAACATTGAGTTGTCTTTATTACTGACTTGTAAAAATTCTTTGTATATTCTAGATACATGATTTCCAAATGTTTCTTCCCATTCTGAGGATTGCCTTCACTTAAATTTTTGTTTCTTTTTTTGAGACAGAGTCTCACTCTGTCACCCAGGCTGAAGTGCAGTGGCACAATCATAGCTCACTGCAGCCTTGAACTCCTGTGCTCAAGCAATCCTCCCACCTCAGCTTCCTATGTAGCTAGGATTACAGGTGTGTGCCACCATGCCTGGCTAATTTTAAAATTTTTCATAGAGATGGCATCTTGCTTTGTTGCCCAGGTTGATCTTGAACTCTTGGGCTCAAGTGATCCTCCCACCTCAGCCTCCCAAGTAGGTAGGACTACAGACATGCACCACTACACCTGGCTAATTGATTTACTTAGAGATGGGGGTCTCACCATATTGCCAAAGCTGGTCTCAAACCCCTAGCCTCAAGTGATCCATCCTCCTACCTCAGTCTCCCCCAAGTAGCTGGGATTCCAGGCACATGCCACCACCCCTGGCAGCTTTAGAGTTTTCTTCATTTGGAGCTTACATATCTGGTTTGGTTTATTCCAGTTTTTAATAATTGTTGCTGTGATTGCGATCTTTTCTCCTACTACATTTTCTAAGTGGTTATTGAGGATACACAGAAAAGCTATTGATTTCTGTACGTTATCTTTTATTCAGCAATCTTGCTGAACTCATTGGTTTTCAATTATTTTGCCAACTGATGATCTTGCATTTTCTAGATAAACCTGCAAATAATGAGTTTTCCCCCAATACTTTCATCCCATTTCTTCTATCAGGCCTTGTTGCAGTGTCTCTTATAGAATATTCAATCATTGTGGTGGTAGTGAGGATTATTTTGTTCCATTCACTTAAAAGAGAATGTTTCTAATGTTTCATCATTAAGTATGGTTTCACCATTAAGTATGATAATAAAGGTTTCTGGGAGATACCCTTAATGGAATTGAGGACGTTTCCTTCCATTTCTTGTTTGCTTCTAAGATCTTTGTTTCTTGTAACAGAAAAACAAAACAAAACACAACAAAAAACCAAAGGGATGCTCCTTTCATCCTCAGAGGAGGAAAGAAGAGGGAAGCTGGGTCTAGACACACCCTGGATTTCTCTTTTCCAAGCCCAGCTGACAGCCACTTTTCTAGTACCCCTAACACCCACCAAATAAAAGGTGCTACATTTTGCTCATGTTCTTTCTTTTGTCTGGAACCCATTTCTTCCCTATGCTCCTCCACCCCAACTCCTATTTCTCCTAAGTATTAATATTTAGTCTGGAAGAGTCCCGTGAGATTATCTCCAATGTCTGATGCTATACCCCTGCATAGGGGGGTGGGGATATACTTTGAAAAAGCATATTCAAATAACGATTTGTTATTTTAAAGAAGTGTTTTCCTAATATGGTATATATAAAGTAACATTCCACAAAATTGTGGTTGCTGTATATTTAAGCTGCAGTACTTCTAAAAGGGTAGTCGGGGTTTTTCTCTCCCTAAAAGAGGCTGAGCTTCTTTCTAACTCAGGAACTCTATCAGTGAGCTTTTCCCTCTGCCTTGTAAGTTCTCTCCCAAACCCAATCTCCTACCTAATACCCACTCATCCTTCCAGATGCCAGCCAGCTTACCTTAAATGCTGTTTCTTCAGGAAGGCAAGCATAAGGTTCCCCTCTGTGCTGTCTCCTAGCCCCTTATACTCCTTAACAGACCGACTACCAATTGCAATCATAGGACCATATGTGTGTCCATTTTGTTTTTCAGTCTGTTTTCTCTACGAGCCTAAACTATGAGGACGAGGGATGTGCCTGTTTTATTTACCACTACAGTGCTTGGCATATTAAGGATCTTCAGTTGCCAAAAGGGAGCACATGTTAGAGAAGTCAGCACCTCTCTCATAATCTAAAACCCCCCAGTTAGCAAATGGGGCAAGTGGGGCCCAGAGGTGAGAAGAGATTTACTCAAGGTCTCGGAACCAATCTGATCCTGAGCCAGACTGCCTAGCTCTAAAGTCCAGTTCTTTGCTCTCAGGTTCTCCTTCAGGGCTCACCCAATCTAAGTACCCTGAGAAGTCTTTCCTTACCCCAGGCCTCTGTCCACCCTCACAGTCATTTCCACGCGTCGTCCTCGTCCCATCAGTCCCATCTGCCACAGCTGCCCACTCTGCTTCCCAGGGAACGGGTGACCGCGCGGGGAGAGAGCGGCATCCGGGCGCGAGGTGCGAGGCCCAGGTCTGCGGGCGGCCGGGCCAAGCCCCCGAGCCTCGGCGGTGCTGATTGGCCGGCCTGGCGGGGGGGACGGGCGGAGGGACGGCCGCCCGCGCGTCCGCTTCGTCTCCGCGGGGGCGCGCCCGCGGCACGCGGCCGGGCGGGGCCGGGCGTGAGTGACGGCCATGCGGACCAATGGGGCGGGCGCGCGCCGCCGCCGCCGCCCGCGCGGCCCCTGACGCGGGCCCGGGCGCCGCGCCGCTGCGGCTGCAGGCGGCGACGGCTACACCATGGGCCGGCTGCTGCGGGCCGCCCGGCTGCCGCCGCTGCTTTCGCCGCTGCTGCTTCTGCTGGTTGGGGGTGAGTGCGCTCCGGGCCCGAGCGCGGGAGGGCGGGCGGCGGCGTGGGCGCGGTGCTGGACAGCTCCCCGGGCCGCCAACAAAGGGGCCAGAGTGCGGCGCCGCCGGGAGCGCGCGTGTCCCGGCCGGGCCGCGGCGCCGCCCCGACACACGCGCACGAGGAGTGGGTGCGTGGGGGCCGCGGCGGGCGCCTGGCGTGCCGGGCGACCCCCGACAAAGGCGCGGCGGTGAAGCTGGGACACAGCACCGTGGCCCCCACGCCGCGGCTCTCAGGGGCAGGTGCGCAGGCTGCTGCCTCGCGGGCCGGGGGGGCGCGCACGTGTGGGTGTGCATGTGTGTGCGTGTGCTTGTGTGTGTGCGAGTGCATTGTGTGCCTGCGCACTCGGGGGAAGAGGCGTGTGTGACAGCCACGCGGGGAGGAGGCCGCATTGTGAAGGTCCCAGGGGCCGCCTGCGGAGTGTGGGGCGGGTACGCTGAGGCGCGGGTGGCTGTTTACGCGTGGCGTTGCCGGGAGGGAGTGTGAGTGTGTCACGGTGAATGGGTATTCTCTCCTGTTCTGGGCGACTCTATTAGGAGCTGACAAAAACGGGCGTACAGCCACGGAAGGCCCGTGACAGCACACGGCGGGAGGCTCCCACGCAGCTCACACACGAGGGAGGTGTGAGACTCAGATGTGTGGTTTCCATTCAGCAGCCACGCCGGGCGGCGGGCTGTGTGGGTGCGTGGCGGGCTGGGGGTGTGGCACAGGTGTGAAAGGGATGTGTCTGCCTGAGAGAGAAAGAGACGGGCCTCCTGATGGCTTCCAGCGCAGACGGGGATTTAGTGGAGGGGGTGTGTAGGGAGGTGGGCATGGGGTGTGACAGCCCATGAGGCAGGCGGCCACTATGGAAATGGCGGGGAGAAGGGCTGTCTGCAAAGGTGGGTCAAATAAGGTCATAGCTGAGCAGCTCCTGCACACACTGGCAGAGCAGAGGGAGTGTGTTACGGTGTATGTTAAGGTGTGACTGGTGCTGCTGGAGGAATACCCGGATGAGGAAGTGTGCATGTGTGCCTGTGCACACTCATCAGCCAGCTGTAACTTCACTTCTGATGCACACGTCAAAATAGCGTCCTAGTATGATGTGTGTATGTGCATGTAGGAGTGTGTATGTGCATGTAGGAGTGTGCACAGGACATTTCCCACGCAGCTGGCCCATGAAGACACAGGCACTTTGTGTCCAGATGTGTGTGAGTGAAAGAGAAACTAGTGAAGGGTCTCTATGGGAAGGGAGGAACAGTCTTTGCCTGAGGTGGGCCATGAACCTGGGACTCAGAGTGGCAGAATCCCAGGGTAAATGGCTGGGAGGGGAAAGTGGTCCCTCGCACATTCCTGTGCATGTCATGGGAAGGCTCAGTTCAGGGAGGGTACATTTTCTCCACAGTCAGTCTAGGGATGAAGAAAGGCCCTAGGTGGTGTGCACAGAAAAACATGTCCATCAGTGTTGGCTCAGACACTCACACAAACCCACCTGTATTCTTTCACGCCGTAAATCCTCTTTGGAAAAAGGCGACATTCAATAAATAAACATCAATTGATTGGTCTGCTATTTCTTTGTGTGACAGTCATAAACCAGAACTGGCCAGCAACGTCCTCATGGACCCAGGCCCAGCTGTAACTGCCCATGTGCTTATGTGACCAGCTGTGAGGACTGCAGGCAGCCTGCCTCCCGGCTCCTCTCTCCCGTGCATGCTCTTCATGACGCACTTCTTACCCCCTGCTTGGAGGGCATGTGCGTGTGTCTAGCAGTGTGTCTCTTTCTTACACACCTTTGTGTGGAAGCCCTTCAGGGACCTGTCAGCATTGTTTCTCAGGTGCTTACAGAGTGGAGGTAGCGTGACTGTGCTCAGCAGTTCCTGTTGTCGCTGACACTTAAGGGTGAGGAGCTGTGTGACAGATGCTGCAGGGCCCCTCCCATGTTGGTGTCTGCCAAGAGCTTAGGGAGACTGGACTTCAAAGACCCTGCTTAGGGGAGAGGTGGGGTGTAGCTGATGGTGGAAATCAGAAAGGAGTTTTGCACCGGGAGCAGATCACAGGGACTGATTTGAAAAGGTAAGATAAAACATGAGGATCGCTGGGGTCTTGTTTTTTTCACCTCCCCAAATGTCAGCCTGCTTCCTTTGCCTCCTTCTGTGTTTGTTTGGGTCAGATTTTCATTTCTTTGAGGCTGATCCCCTAATCCTTTTCATGTGCCATCTTTTTCTCTCTCCTCTGTTGGGTGTGATGATGTAACAGAAAATTATAGGTGCTAGAGGGAAAAAGGAAATCAATCACACGCAGAGTGTAATTCTGAAATTTTAAGTCAGGTGGGGTCTCAATTAAGGCAGATTAATTATTAAGTGCAAAACTAATTATACACAGAATGGCTATGTCTCAGCTACTATTTTGGTGTCATCTTATGGTGGGCAAGTTTGAAAATAAGTAACCTCTTGTAATTACTTAAATAAATACCCATTGCCAAGGCCTTTGAAAATATCAAGTTCTATGTAAAGACAAAACAGTCATTAGAGGGAAAAATAACTTTAAGAAAATGAAACTGTTTACTGGAAAAGGAATGAAAAACCGGGAAAATACCAGATTCCTTTTTCTTCAGTAGGGTTTTCAAAATCTTTGCCAATTCCTATTAGACCATTGGGAAGGGAAGACAAAGAAGGAAAGGGAGAGATGTTAGAGGAAGGTTATGGGTTCCTGGCTTGACAGGTGGGAGAGCTCAGAGAGGTGGGGGCTCACTGGAGCCATGGAAATGACAGGGAAGGGGCCTAGCAAACACACCAGACCACAGTACTGTGCACAGACAGCTGGACTGACTAGAAAGTGTTTTATCCCCCAGAGTGGGGAAGGAAACAGGCTCCTCTGGGCACAATGACCTGGAGAGGGCAGAGCAGTCTTCTTGAGTTCCAAGCCATTCCGAGGAGCCAGAGTAGGGTGTAGACGGCAGCAGCCTCCCCGCCTGCCATGCCACAGCCTCTCCCTGCCATGCCACAGTTCAGCTCCGAGAGAGAGTGCCAAGGTTTGAGAGACAACCCGTGTTTAATCCTTCAGTGGTTTTGTAGAGAGTGAATTTCAAAATTCTTAGGGAGAATCAGTTTACACTTTTCTAACAAGGCTGAAGTAATATCTTTCCCAGCATACCTGCTGGAGGTTGGAGCATGCAGATACAGATCTCCAGTTCATGGCCCTCTCAAAGGCAGGCTGCCCGGGTGCCCCGGGAACCTATACAATGTGTATTATTTAATTATTATAAACATTTTCCATCAGTTGACTTTTTTCTTCCTGGAATGCATGAATGAGTTTTTCCAGATTTGTTTCTTGTATTTTGGCTCCCTGCCAGCCCTGGGGATACTGCTTTTGCAAAGCAGTCTGCTACATCGGCTCATATCCCCTAAAGAACTTAGGGTTCCACTTCCCAAGAGTTTGTAATTTTCCTGAGGGCAAAGCCTGTCTCTTGTTCATCTGTCTCTTGTTGCACCTCCAGGAAGGGCCTAACACACTGTTTGGCACAGAATAGGAGCTCAGGAGTGACTGTATTTTTCTTTGTAATCGAGAGTCTAATAGAAATTTTACCTCTAATAAGAGCACAGCCCACCTGAAACCAAAGTTCAATTATAATTGGATCACATCTGATTGGCAGTACTACATGATTCTGATTCACTTTTCAAAAATTAGAAAATAACTATTAAATAAGTACAGTTTATAGATGAAACATTTCCAAACACAGGGGCCACATGCAAATGTAAATAAAGGGATTCTTGCTTGTGAAACATTGGGAATCACTTTACTAATTTGGTCTTTTTCAAGAGAAGAGATTCCTTCAATTGATTGGATTGGTTGTGGGGACCCTGGGCAGAGTGTTTGGAAAGGGGTATCTTCTAGTTTTTAGCTCTGGCTTCTTTCCCTGGCCCTTAAAGCACATGAAATATTTAAGCTGTTTTACATATTCTCTTCCTTCACGTATCCTTTGGAGGAAGGAAGGTACCCAGCCCCACAAGTAATAGCTTTCCATTCTTCTTCCTGGAGCATCCACAAGATGTTTTTGTGGGGGAGAAACCAGCTAATTTCAGCTCCTCTATTAACTAGCTGTTTGACCTTAATCCCACTAGGCCTCAGTTATTTCATTTG
Organism: Homo sapiens; assembly: GCF_000001405.40. NCBI lineage: Eukaryota > Metazoa > Chordata > Mammalia > Primates > Hominidae > Homo > Homo sapiens. The sequence goes on from NC_000003.12 coordinate 127,633,445, forward strand.
TAAAACAAGAGGGTTGGATTACAAATTTTGTGTGTGTGTGTGTGTGTGTGTGTGTGTGGGAGAAACCAGCTAATTTCAGCTCCTCTATTAACTAGCTGTTTGACCTTAATCCCACCAGGCCTCAGTTATTTCATTTGTAAAACAAGAGGGTTGGATTAGACTACTAATTATTTATTCAAACCTTTATTGTGTCCCCATCATGTGTAAAAGGTTGTGCTAGGCACTGGAATTACAGGGTGGAATTGAAACAAGGGACTCCTCATTTACAATGGAGGCTGTATGAAGGTCTCTTACAATTTGGTGAGAAAAGTGGCGTGACAGTAGTTTGTTGAGAAGGCTGTGATAGAGAGGAGTGGTGTCTCATCCAGACTTGGAGTGGCCACAGAAAGCTTCTCGGAAGCTGAGACTGCAGGCAGGAGTGAGAATTAGCAGGTGGGTGGTGGGACAGGACAGAGATGGGGAGATACGGATGTTCAAGCAGAAGAGCATATGCAAAGACCCAGAAGGCAAAAGAGGCGGCTGTGTTCTGGAAATTGCAGGTAGTCAGTTTGTCTGAAGCGTAGAGTATGATTGGGGAAGGTGGGTGCAGAGAGGGGAGGGGAGGTAATGGTCAGTTTATGAGAGCCTTCTCGCCTTTTCAAAGGATCTGACCTGTATGATAGAATGATAGAACCAGATTTGCATTTTAAAAAGACCTCTCGGCCTGTGCAGTGGCTCACGCCTGTAATCCCAGCACTCTCGGAGGCCAAGGTGGGCAGATCACCTGACGTCAGGAGTTTGAGACCAGCCTGGCCAACATGGCGACACCCCGTCTCTACTAAAAATACAAAATTAGCCGGTCATGGTGGCACATGCCTGTAATCCCTGCTACTCGGGAGGCTGAGGCAGGAGAATCGCTTGAACTCGGGAGGCGAAGGTTGCAGTGAGCTGAGATCACGCCATTGCACTCCAGCCTGGGCAACAAGAGAGAAACTCCATCTCAAAAAAAAAAAAGTTGACTGGGCACAGTGACTCACACCTGTAATCCCGGCACTTTGGGAGGTTGAGGCAGGCAGATCACCTGAGGTCAGGAATTGGAGACTAGCCTGGCCAACATGGTTAAACTCTATCTCTACTAAAAATAAAAAAAAAATTAGCTGGGCGTGGTGGCAGGTGCCTGTAATCCCAGCTACTCGGGAGGCTGAGGCAGGAGAATCGCTTGAACCTGAGAGGCGGAGGTTGCAGTGAGCCAAGAACGCGCCATTGCACTCCAGCCTGGGCGACAAGAGTGAAACTGTCTGAAAAAATAAATAAAAATAAAAAATAAATAAAAAGACCTCTCTGAGCTTTGTCACTCAAAGTGTGGTCCACAGACCAGCAGCATCAGTCACACCTACTGTGTCAGAAGACTCGGGTGACTCACACACATTTCAGTCTGAGAAGCGCTGATTAGAGGGCAGTGTTCGGGACAGATGAGTGCAGGGGGAATTGCTAGGGGTTCGTAAAAGAGCTCTCTTTTTCTTCCAGCGGTGAAGCACTATGAGGACTGTAATTCTAATGGAGGCGTCTCTCATGTCTACACATCTATGTTTCTGTATCGTCTCTGCTGTTTTGCTTTATCGTGAAGTGTGGGGCATTTCGGCCATGTGCCCCCCTGAGTGGCATGGTTGTCTACCCTAGAGAAAGGGAAACTGAACACATGTTCCTGAGATCCCGGTGTTGTTATTTCCTCCAGCCTCCTTTCTCCTTCACAGTGTACTGAGCACAGTTAGTACAGTGCCATGAGCAGTTCTGTTAGTAGCTACCTTTGAGATCTCTCTCCCTGCCCTACTAACCCTGTGGCTCAAACAGAGTTATATGGTCACTGTTACACTATTCCATAATGATTTGTTTTCTTGCTGGTCTCTGTAGTAGAAACTGACCCTTTTGGGGCAGGGACCCTATCTTTCTTATTTCTGTACCAACATAGCCTTGGATCATGCCTAGTCCAAATAAGCATTTAATAAAGGCTTTTTGGTTGAAGAATGAATGAATGGATGGATGAATGAATGGAATTTAACCATTCAAACACTACTCTGATCCAAAAGGAGAACTTGATTTATAATTTGTCTTAATGTATCATTTGGCTATTTCTGTGTAATAAATCACCCCAAAATTTAGTGGTTTCAGATTCTCAGTTCTTAAGATCTGATCCCTGGACAGAAGCATCACCTGGGAACTTGCTAGAAATGCAAATTGTTGGGCCCCGTCACAGACCAGCTGGATTCAGAACTCTAGGGTGGGCTTAACAGTCTCTGTTTTAACAAGCCCTCATGGTGATTCCATGCTGGTTCAAGTTTGAAAGCACTGGATTAAAACGGTAGCCATTTATTTAGCTCATGATTCTGTAGTTTGGCAATTTAGGCTGCAGTCAGCTGGGTGGTTCTGGTCTCAGCTGAACTCCTTCAAGTTTGTCATCAGCTGTTTATCACCTTTGCTGGTCTTGTCTGGCTCTCTCACTTTGGGACTTCAGCTAGGACACTGAGCTGATCTGGCTCTCTTCTGCATGGGCTCCTGTTTTCCTGCAGGCTAGCCTTGAGCAGAATCCTGAGAGAATGGAAGCGTGCAAGGTATCTTGATGCCTAGCCTTGGAAATGGCACATCATCACTTCTGCATTGTCTTGTGTAGCAACTCACAAAGGTAGCTCAGATTCAAGGAGTGGAGAATTAGATTTCATCTCTTGATGGGAGGAGCTACAAAGTCTCATTGCAAAGATGTGTGTTATTAATTGGGAGTCATTGGATAACCCCTCTCAGGAAGAACCTTAAGAAGGTACTGTTTTGGGGTAGGACAGGGCACTCTGTTTCTTTCCCATCTACCTAGTAGGGGATAGATACTGCTTTCTTCTATAATATTCGGGCTAGGAAAAAATCCAAGAGTAGCTTAGGGTCCCCCCGTGATGTGAAGGGGAATTAGAGTGGAAGAGGTCATGGGAAAGTCTTGAGCTAGAGAGAGTACAAGTCCTTAATTCATCCTCTCCCAGGAACAAAGGGGAACTTCAAGGGGAGTGGACCCCAAATTGATTGTCTTGGCTTTCTCTGCCTTTTAAATACCTTTGGCTCAAAGAAACCACAAAATATGAGATGGCTGTTTCTCTCTTTGAGTCAGGGATTCAGACACAGGCTCTGGGAACATGACTTCAGCTTCGTGGAGCCAGGCCCTGCCTGGAAGCAGAATCTTTGTCCGTGGACATGGTGCCTAGGACAGCAGAAGACATTCCGGATGGGGTGTGATAGCTTCCTGGTTTGGACTTGGCAGAAGGCAATCCCCTGTGAGCAGTCCTCAGGAGCACTGGCAACACAGCAGTGCCATTGGCTCCCACCTGCCCAGGGTCACAGCTTGCCCACCCTTTAGGTATTTTTTTATTTTTATTTTTTTGAGACAGAGTCTCACTCTGTCGCCCAGGCTGGAGTGCAATGGCACCATCTTGGTTCACTGCAATCTCTGCCTCCCGGGTTCAAGCAATTCTCCTGCCTTAGCCTACCAAGTAGCTGGAGACTACATGCGTGTGCCACCATGCCCAGCTAGTTTTTGTGTTTTAGGAGAGACTAGTTTTGCCACATTGGCCAGGCCTGTCTCGACCTCTTGACCTCAAGTGATCCGCCCGCCTCGGCCTCCCAAAGTGCTGGGATTTACAGGTGTGAGCCACCACACCCAGCCCCATCCTCTAGTTATGATGATACTTTCTAAAGCTGAGAGTTGGGCCTGTGAATTATCTTATTGAGAGACAGAGCTTCACGGGATCTTAGAGGTTGGCACAGACGTTTACTAGCCCTGGTCAGATGCTAAGGCTCTGATGCCTCCTTAGCCCCGGCGTTGGCTTTGAGGCCATGTAGAATCACTCTGATATTCTTATTCACATCAACCTTTTGTTTTAATGTATTTGAAGATACCATGGTCTCTTTTAAATATTTTTTTCCCCGGGCCATGAACTTCACAGGTCTCTGTTTTTTATATAGGATAATAACACAATATTTGTAGAATAGTTTGGTTTGTAAAGCTCTTTGTAGAGCAGCTTTCACACATGGCTCACCAATTACCTCATTTGGTGCCCCTCACACTGGAGGCATGGTAGGAATTGGTGTCCTTATTACACAGAGGAGGAGAGCAAGGCTGGTGGTGGTGAAGTCACTCAGCCAGAGAAGCCAGAGTGTAACCTATTTCCTGGTACCAGGCTTTCTCTCCTGTTATATAGAACATCTTCCTGTCTCTGACCTCAGGGCGTCTCTCTTACCCTGGAGTCTCTACTTCCCATCCCCCATCCACACAACCCAGAATACACCCCTGTGGCTGGATGTGGCATTATTGGCTGTGAGTTGTCTGGCTGCTGCACAGTGTGCACAGACTCCCTCATACGGAGACTCACAGGACAGTCTGAAATGCTCATTTTTTTCAGTGGCCAGTCACAGTATTGGCACGTATCAAGCTTAGGGCCTGCTCAGCAAAGCACATGGCACCAATAATATTAGCCCTATTTTTATTATAAGCATCACTAAAAATTGCCATGTACTGTAGTCAAGTCAGGTCACAGTACACATCTGGTGTAGAGCAAGAGGAAGACTGTGAAATTCCCTCTTCCCTAGATCCTTAAGTGTTAGTCTTGGAAAAGAATTCAGAGGTCATTTCATTTAGCTTCCTTGTCTATCTGGTGAGGAGACTGAGACCCAGAGGTCTTGAGCAGCTTTCCAGGAGCCTCACAGCAAGTTAGTAATTTGTGTGGTTAGGTCATTAAGTTAGAGGTTAAGTTGTGAAACTGGCAAATAGGGCTATATTCCTGTCCTTAAAGAATGAGAGTGAAAGAAGAGGAAAAAGGCCTCCTTTAATTTGTTTTCCTGTCCATTTATTTGCTTGTTTTGGTAAATTAGGAGAGAGAGAGAATCCAAGATTCTAAACAAATATGTCAAATTACCAGCACTGGGTTGAGTTTGAACTGTGACCTCACGTGGTTTTTTAAAAGACTACGTTCAGAGGCTGGGCTCAGTGGCGCACGCCTGTAATGCCAGCACTTTGGGAGGCCTAGGAGGGCAGATCACTTGAGGTCACGAGTTCAAAACCAGCCTGACCAACATGGCGAAACCCTGTCTGTACTAAAAATACAAAAATTAGCCAGGCGTGGTGGTGGGCACCTGTAATGCCAGCTACTTGGGGGGCTGAGGCAGGAGAATCACTTGAACCTGGGAGGCGGAGATTGCAGTGAGCCAAGATTGCACCACTGTACTCCAGCCTGGGCGACAGAGCAAGACTCCATCTCAAAAAAAATAAAAAATAAAAAAACTAAAGACTATGTTCAGGATACTGTATTGCTGAAATACAAATGATATTCATAATGCAGTTTTGGAGAAATTTCAGCCAAGGATGGAAGCCTGGGGAACACTGTGTTCGTCCAATCATACTGCTAGGTCCTTAAAAGCATGGGCCCTGTCTTCACTTCAGTTTGTAGCTCCAACACCCAGTACAATTGCCAACAGAGAGAGGGTACTCAGGAGGCATTTTCTGAGTGACCACATGCGCAGTGGAACACTGACTCAGTGATTCCTCTCTCTCCCCTGCCTGTCTCCATCTGTCTCCCCTTGCCCCTGCCATAGGGAAGTCTAAGCAATTTGGCCTTTTTGAAATGAAAATAGTGTCTCAGAATCCCCGCAAAGCCTCTGGGTTTTCAGGAGTGTCCACTGAAGTCCCCCCTTCCCCAGGACCTTTGTCATTTGAGACATGCTCTAACCTGGCACCAGTCTTGTGTCTTCTCTAGCCTCCCCTGACTGTCTGGCTTTTATGTCTGCACAGGAGCGTTCCTGGGTGCCTGTGTGGCTGGGTCTGATGAGCCTGGCCCAGAGGGCCTCACCTCCACCTCCCTGCTAGACCTCCTGCTGCCCACTGGCTTGGAGCCACTGGACTCAGAGGAGCCTAGTGAGACCATGGGCCTGGGAGCTGGGCTGGGAGCCCCTGGCTCAGGCTTCCCCAGCGAAGAGAATGAAGAGTCTCGGATTCTGCAGCCACCACAGTACTTCTGGGAAGAGGAGGAAGAGCTGAATGACTCAAGTCTGGACCTGGGACCCACTGCAGGTAGCTCTTCTTACCTACAGAGCATGTGTTGAGTGCCAGCCAAGTGTCTAGGCAAAACACCAGGTGACCATTTCCTTGCCAGAAGCATCTCTTCTCTCTCCCTACAGTTTTTACCATGCTGCTGCTGTTTACCTGCACATCAGAGCAAAGGCTCTGGGACCCTGAATGTCTCACAGGCCCAGGAGGCCCTTTCTCTTTAATACTAACCACTGTTTAGGGAGCCTTTATTCTGTGCTCATTTAATTCAATCTGATGCTTATAACCTGAGAGATAAGTAATATGACCCCCCTTGTAGACAAGAAAACACTGAGACTGAGAGGTTAAAAGCTGGCCTGAGGTCAAACAGCAGCTCAGATGCTCAGTCATGATTCAGACCTATGGCTTTCCAAGCCCTGGGGCTCATTGTTTTGTTTTTCCCTACTGCTCTATGCTGTCTCTGTTGAAGATTGCCACAAGGTCAGCTGATCCATGTTTCCTTGAGTCTATCCGACCAGCAATTGAGGCATTCTAACCGCCCTTCCCTCAGTCATGCACCAGAGCTAGAGCTGGTGTTTGGATCTACAGAGCCCAGCTGGTGAACATTTGGGTCCCGAAGAAAGCCCGAGGCCTAGGGCTCCAGGTTTGAATGCCCACCGCCATGAGCTGACATTGATACAGATGCAGGCATGGCCCCTCCACCAATGTCCTGGGCCAGCAGGGCCCCATCTCTTAGTAGGGACTGAGGAATTGGTGTGATTGTGTGTGCACATGGGGCAAGGTGTTACAGAACTTAACCTTTAATTTTTCTTTTTAAAATAGGTAATATTTATTGGATTTACCTTTTCTAATTATAAAAGAACACATGAACATTGTAGAAAATCTGAAACACACAAAAATAATACAAAGAAGAAAATAAGGCTGGGTGTGGTGGCTCACGTCTGTAATCCCAGCACTTTGGGAGGCTGAGGCGGGTGGATCACTTGGGGTCAGGAGTTTGAGAACAGCCTGGCCAACATGGTGAAACCCTGTCTCCACTAAAAATACAAAAATTAGCTGGACATGATTGCGGGCATCTGTAATCCCATCTACTCAGGAGGCTGAGGCAGGAGAATGGCTTGAACCCGGGAGGTGGAGGTTGCAGTGAGCTGAGATCGCACCACTGCTCTCCAGCCTGGGCGACAAGAACAAAACTCTATCTCAAAAAAAAATAAAATAAAATAAAAAATAAAAACTACCTATAACCTGATAATTGAAAGATAATTACTATTAGTAGTTTGGGGATACATTGTTCTAGTCACTTTATGTGCAAAATTGGAATCATAGGGACATTTTGTTTTCACTCAAAATATTTCATAAGTATATTTCCGCATTGTTAAATATCCATTTATAACCTGATTTTTAAACATGTTATTATTTATTTATTTTTTTGAGATGGAGTCTTGCTCTGTCACCTGGGCTAGAGTGCAGTGGCGTGACCTTGGCTCACTGTAACCTTCATTTCCTGAGTTCAAGTGATTCTCCTGCCTCAGCCTCCGAGTAGCTGGGATTACAGGCATGCGCCATCACACCCAGCTAATTTTTGTATTTTTAGTAAAGACAGGGTTTCACCATGTTGGCCAGGCTGGTCTCTAACTCCTGACCTCAAGTGATCTGCCCGTCTCGGCCTCCCAAAGTGCTGGGATTACAGGTCTGAGCCACCGCACCCGGACAACATGTTATTATTTATTTATTTATGTTTAGAGTTGAGGTTTTGCTCCATTGTTCAGGTGTGATCATAGTTCACTGTAACCTCGAACTCCTGGGCTCAAGCGATCCTCCCACCTCAGCCTCGTAGGTAGCAGGGACCAAAAATGTGCCACCATGCCTGACTAATTTTTTCATTTTTTTGTAGTGATGGGGTCTTGCTATGTTGCCCAGGCTGGTCTTGAACTCCTGGGCTCAAGCGATCCTCCTCCCTTGGCCTCCCAAAGTGCTAAGATTATAGCTGTGAACCACTGTGCCTGGCTTATAACTTGATTTTTTTTTCTTGAGACGGAGTTTTGCTCTTGTTGCCCAGGCTGGAGTGCAGTGGTGCCATCTTGGCTCACCACAACCTCCGCCTCCCAGGTTCAAGCGGTTGTCCTGCCTCAGCCTCCTGAGTAGCTGGGATCATAGGCATGTGCCACCATGCCCGAATAATTTTGTATTTTTTTTAGTAGAGACAGGGTTTCTCCATGTTGGTCAGGCTAGTCTCGAACTCCTGACCTCAGGTGATGTGCCCACCTCGGCCTCCCAAAGTGCTGGGATTACAGGCATGAGCCACCGTGCCCAGCCCTGATTTTTAACAACTACGTTATATTTCATCATGTGGGTCATCAGGTGTATTAAACTGGTTCCCTACTGTTGAATACTTAGGTTGTCTTCAGTTTTAATTCTGCTACAAATATCCTTACACATTTTCGCACCTTCCTGGTGGTTTCCTTAGGATAAATTTCTAGAATAAAATTGATAGGTCAAAAGATGTATTAGGGCCGGGCACGTGGCTCACGCCTGTGATTCCGGCACTTTGGGAGTTCGAGGTGGGCAGATCATGAGGTCCGGAGTTCGAGACCAGCCTGGCCAACATGGTGTAACTCCGTCTCTACTAAAAATACAAAAATTAGCCAGGTGTGGTGGCGGACGCCTGTGAACCTAGCTACTCAGGAGGCTGAGGCAGGAGAGTTGCTTGAACCTGGGAGGTGGAGGTTGCAGTGAGCTGAGATTGCACCACTGCACTCCAGCCTGGGGGACAGAGCGAGACTCCATCTCAGAAAAAAAAAAAAAAAAAGATGTATCAGTCAGCATCCCACGCGGAAACAGAAGACACAATCAAATTAAAACAATCTAAGGAGAGTTTGTTTATGAAGCAGCAGATTTATGAAGGTATGGGCTGGATACAGGTGAACTACCAAAGGACTCACAAGTCCTTTGGCTAAGGATCTGTGGCTAGCAACAGCTGAGTGCTTACCATCTCTAGGCACAGTGAGACCAGGGAAGGGATGAAGATGGGAGCCTGCAGGGAAAGTGGTGTAGAGAGGTGGCCAGATATGGGAGGAGACGAAGAGAATGAACGCCGCACCCCCCACCAAGTGTTCTCTCTTTCCCTTGTCAGTTTGATAGGAAAAATTATAATGGCCTTTGATTACTAGTATATTTTAACTCATATATGTACAAAACATATGTGTACGTTCATTATATACAGAATATGTGTATTCTATAGAATATACATATACACAAAAATAGTGACCACTTATCACTCTTCTTTTTTATTTGAAGCACAGTGTAGTTAAGAGAACAGGCTTTGGAGTCAGGAAGGCTCCAGTGCTGTCATTTAACAGTGATGCAATTTTTGGCGAGTAACTAACCCTAAGCCTCAGTTTCCCATCTAGGAAATGGAGATAATTATATACCTACCTCACAGGGTTGTGAGGTTCACACACCATCATACATTTCGAGCACTCAGCTCAGTGCTTGGCACATTGTTAAGTGCTCTGTGACTATTAGCTATTATTATTACTTTCCTGTTTTTTTCTATTGAGTCTTTAATTTTTTCTTATCCCTGTACAAATCTGAAAAAGGATACTAACTTTCCTCTGACATACGTAGAAAACATTTTTCCAGTTTGTCAACTGCTTGTATTTTTATTATAATTTTTGGCATAAAGAAATTAAATATTTTATAAGCTTAAAATTACTTTTTTTTTCTTCGAGATGGAGTTTTGCTCTAGTCACCCAGGCTGGAGTGCAATGGTGTGATCTCAGCTCACTGCAACCTCTGCCTCCCAAGTTCAAGCAATTCTCCTACCTCAGCTTCCCAAGTAGCTGGGATTATAGGCATGTGCCACCACGCCCAGCTAATTTTGTATTTTTAGTAGAGATGGGATTTCACTATGTTGGCCAGGCTGGTTTCAAACTCCTGATCTCAAGTGATCCACCTGCCTCAGCCTCTCAAAGTGTTGGGATTACAGGCATGAGCCACCACACCCAGCAAAATTACTTCTTTTAAAATGTTTTTATGTGTTTTTCTTTACTTTATGATTAGAAAATACTTTCTGCCCTTGAGATACATGCACCTTTCTTCCTTCTATTCTTTTTTTTTAATGTAAATTCTTTTTTTAAAATTATTTTTATTTTTTGGACACAGGGTCTCGCTTTGTACCTCAGGCTGGAGTGCAGCAGCACAATCTCAGCTCACTGCAGCCTTGACCTCCTGGGCTCAATCGATCCTCCTGCTTCAGCCTCCCAGGTAGCTGGGACTACTGGTGTACCCCACCACGCCTGGTTAATTTTTCTGTTTTTTGTAGAGACAGGGTTTTGCCATGTTTCCCAGGCTGGTCTTGAACTCCTGGGCTCAAGCAATCCACCTGCCTCAGCCTCCCAAAGTGCTGGGATTACAGGTGTGAGCCAGCACGCCTGGCCCCTTCTATTCTTTAGCTTAATTTTTTACATTTAAGTCCAATCTAGCTGTAATTTATTTTTGTGTGTGGTGTAAGATAAGGATCTAATTTCATTTTCTCCATATAGATCATCTATTGTCATGGCGGCATCCATTGATAAATCTGTCCTCTTATCATTTTAAAGAAATGATATTTTGTTGCTGTTGTTGTTTTGAGATGGAGTCTCACTCTGTTGCCCAGGCTGGAGTGCAGTGGTGTGATCTCTGCTTACTGCAACCTCTGCCTCCGAGGTTCAAGTGATCCTCCTGCCTCAGACTCCCTGGTAACTGGGATTACAGGCGTGCCACCATGCCCAGCTAATTTTTGTAATTTTAGTAGAGGTGGGTTTTACCGTGTTGCCCAGGCTGACTGAACTCCTGACCTCAAGTGATCACCCACCTTAGCCTCCCAAAGTATTGTGATTACAGGTGTGAGCCGCTGTGCCTGGCCAAGGAATGATTTAAACAAACTTTTACATTGTACCAGACAATTATTGGGTCTTTTTCTGGCCTTTCCCTTTTGTTGAGACTATTGAGCGTCTAGTGTGAGGTAAGCAGTCACGCAGAGAGCATTGGCCTCAGGACCACAGTGGAGGGCCCTGAAGCCTTGATGAGCTCGATTTGTTGTCCTCCCCCCTCCCCAGGGGATTCGTTTCCCTTTCTTTTTCTTTCAGTTCATGTCTCTTCCTCTCCCATTTCCTTCCCTAGGTCTCATAAGAATAAAAATAGCTCTCATTCATTGAATACCGGCTATGCATAGGCCTTTGCCTCGATTGTCTCTAGTCCTCACCACAGCTGCATACAGCTTGGCTGTGAGGTGGAGATACCAATCACCCTACCCAGGATGGGCAGAAGGCTAGGGAGGTGCAGGGAGGAGGCCAGGAGGCAGAGGAGGTGCAGGGAGGAGGCCAGGAGGCCAGGCAGGTGCAGGGAGGAGAGTTGCTTCAGTCCTGTCCCTCATTGCTCCTCTCTTGACCTGTCCCCTCGCCTTACGTTTCCTCAGGTCAATCTCT